>NC_000023.11:83674663-83977693 GCF_000001405.40 Homo sapiens
AAAAATCCTTAACAAAGTACTAGCAAATCAAATTCAGCAGCACATCAAAAAGCTAATCTACCATAATGAAGTAGGCTTTACTCTCGGGAGGCAAGATTGGTTGAACATATGCAAATCAATAAATGACAATTATTACATAAACATAAGTAAATACAAAAATCTCATCATCTCAGTAGACATAAAGAAGGTTTTCAATAAAATTCAACATCACTTTATATTAAAAACCCTCAACAAACTAGGCATTAAAGGAACATACCTTAAAATAATGAGAGCCACCTATGATAAACCCACAGCCAACATCATACTGAATTAGCAAAGGCTGGACACATTCCTTCTGCCAACTGGCCAAATGCAAAGATACCAACTCTTACCACTGCTATTCAACATAGTACTGGAAGACTTAGCCAGAGCAGCTGGGCAAGACAAATAAAGAAAAGTCATCCGAACAGGATTAGAGAAATTCAAACTATCTCTCTTCTCAGATGATATGATTCTATACCTAGAAAACCTCATAATCTCTGCACAAAGGCTTCTAGATCACAAAAACAACTTTAGTACATTTTCAGGAAACGAAATCAATATACAAAAACCAGTAGCACTTTTATATACAAATAATGTCAAAACTGAGAGCCAAATCAAGAATTCAATTCCAGTCACCATGGCCACAAAAATAATAAAATATTTAGTGAAACATCTAACCAGGGAGTCGAAAGTTCTCTGCAAAAAGGACTACAAAACACTTCTGAAAGAAATCATGAATGACACAAACAAATGGAAAAACAATCCATACCCATGGATTGGAATAATCAATATTGTAAAAACGGCCATACATCCCAAAACAATTTACAAGTTCAATGCTATTTCTATAAAACTACCAATGTCATTTTTCACATGATTGGAAAAAACTATTCTAAAATTCATATCAAACCAACAAATAACCCAAATAAGAAAGGCAATCCTAAGCAAAAGGAACAAAGCTCGTGGCCCCAATATACCTGTCTTCAAACTATAATATAAGGTTATTGTAATCAAAACAGCATGGCACTGATAGAAATCTAGACATGTAGACCAGTGAAACAGATTAGAGAACCCAGAAGTAAAGCTGAACACTCACAACTATCCGATTTTTGACAAAGCTGGCAATAACGAGCAATGGAGAGAGAACTCCCTATTCAGTAAATGGTGCTGGGATAATTGGCTAGGAATATGCAGGAGACTGAAACTGGACACCTGTTTTTCAAAATATACAAAAATCAACTCAAGAGCAATTAAAGACTTGAACAGGCACAGTAGTTCACGCCTGTAATCCGAGCACTTTGGGAGGCTGAGGCGGGAGGATCACTTGAGGTCAGGAGTTCAAGACCAGCCTGGCCAACATGGTGAAACCCCATCTCTACTAAAAATACAAAAATTATCCAGGCATTGTGAGGCATTACAGTAATCCCAGCTACTCAAGAGGCTGAGGCAAGAGAATCACTTGAACCTGGGAGGTGGAGGTTGCAGTGAGCTGAGATGGCACTACTGCACTTCCAGCCTGGGTGACAGCGTGAGATCCCATCTCCAAAAAAGAAAAAAAAAGATAGATTAAAGAATTAAATGTAAAACCTGGAAGTATTAAATCCCTAGAAGAAAACTTAAGACATACCATTCTGGACATAAGTCTTGGCAAAGATTTCATGACAAAGTCTCCAAAAGCAATTGCAAAATAATAATAATAATAAAACTAGATAAATGAGAGCTAATTAAACTAAAGAGCCTTCTGCATGGCAAAACATACTATCAAGAGAGTAAGCCGACAACCTACAGAATGGGAATAAATATTTGCAAACTATGCATCTAACAAAGGTTTAATATTCAGAATCTATTTAAAAATTAAATAAACAAGTGAAAAATAAACAACCCCATTAAAAAGTGGGCAAAAACATGAACAGATGCTTCTTAAAAGAAGATATACTATGTGGCCAACATATGAAAAAATACTCAAAATTACTAATCATTAGAGAAATGCAAATCAAAACCACAATGAGATACTATCTCATACCATTCAGAATAGCTATTTTTAAAAAGTCACATAATATCAGATTGGTATGGTTTTGATTTGTGTCCCTCTCAAATCTCATGTTGAATTGTAATCTTCAGTGTTGGAGGAGGGGGTAGTGGGAGGTGATTGGATCATGGGGATGGCCTTCCCGCATGCTGTTTTAATAATAGTGAGTGAGTTCTCACCAGATCTGGTTGTTTAAAAGTATGTAGCACCTCCCCCTGCTCTCTCTTTTTCCTTCTCCAGACACATAAGACATGCTTGCTTCCCTTTCACCTTCTGTAATGATTGTAAGTTTCCTGAGGCCTCCCCAGCCATGCTCTCTGTACAGCTGGTGGAATGATAAGCCAATTTAACCTCTTTTCTTTATAAATTACCCAGTTTCCCATAGTTCTTTTAGCAATACAAGAACTAACTAATACACACATGCTGGAGAGGTTGTAGAGAAAAGGGAATACTTATACACTGCTTGTGGAAATTTAATTAGTCTAGCCACTGTGGAAAGCAGTTTGAAGATTTCTCAAACAACTTAGAACAGAACTGTCATTCAACCCCACAATCCTATTACTTGTTATATACACAAAGTGATATAAATTGTCCTACCAAAAAGACACACGCACTAGTATGTTTATCATAGCACTATTCACAGGATCAAAGACATGGAACAAAACTAGATGCCCATCATTGGTGAACTGGATAAAGAAAATGTGGTACATATACACCATGGAATACTATGCAGCCAAAAAAATGAAATCATGTTTTTTGTAGCAACATGTATAGAGCTCTAGGCCATTATCCTAGCAAATCAACCCAGGAACGGAAAACCAAATACCACATGTTCTCACTTCTAAGAGGGAGCTAAACAATGAGTACACATGGCTGTGATGAATGGTACAAAAGACACCACCATCTACTTGAGGGTGGAGGTTAGAATAAAAGGAAAAGAAAAAAGAATTAGAGTGTATTCTCTGAAACCCTGCCACTGCTTGAACAACTAAGTATATTTAATATTCTAAATCCTTTGTTGTTATTTTATAAATATTCACAGTATCTTCACCAGGAGTAGATTCCAGCTCAAGAAATCTCTTTGCTCATCTATAAGAAGTAACTCTTAATTTATTCTGGTTTCAATATGAGATTGCTGCAATTCAGTCAGATATTTAGGCTTCACTTCTAATTCTAGTTCTCTTGCTATCTCCACCACATTTATGGTGACTTCCTGCACTTATGTCTGAATCCCTCCAAGTTATCCATGAGACTTGTAATCAACTTTTTCCAAACTCCTGTTAATGCTGATAATTTACCCTCTTCTCATGAATCAGAAATGTTCTTATTGATATCTAAAATGTTAAATAGTTTCAAAAAGATTTTCAATTTACTTTG
Organism: Homo sapiens; assembly: GCF_000001405.40. Lineage (NCBI taxonomy): Eukaryota > Metazoa > Chordata > Mammalia > Primates > Hominidae > Homo > Homo sapiens. Next base: position 83,678,088 of record NC_000023.11, read on the forward strand.
TCCCGATCCATCAGATGAATCATTATTTACGACATCTATAGCCTTTGAAATATATTTCTTAAATAAGACTTGAAAGTCAAATGTTCTCCTTGTTTCATGAGTGGCAAGATTTATATTGAGTTAGAAGGCATGAAAGCAACATGAATCTCTTTGTATATCCCCAGTGGAGCTTTTGGTTGACCAGGTGCATTATGAATGAGCAGTAATATTTTGAAAGGAATCTTCTTTTTTCTTCTTGAGCAGTAGGTTTCAACAGTAGGCTTAAAATATTCAGTATCCCAATGTTTTAAACTGTTGTATTGTTCCACTCATAGAGCACAAGCATAGTGGATTTATCATATTTCTTAAGGGTCCTACAATTTTCAGAATAGTAAATGAGCATTGTCTTCAACTTAAAGTCACCAAGATTGCTAATGCCTAATGTGAGAGTCAGCTTGTCCTTTGAAGTTTTGAAGCTACGCATTGATTTCTCCTTTCTGGCGATTAAAGACTTAGATGGCATCTTCTTCCAGTACAAAGATGTTTTGTCTAAACTTAAAATTGGTTAATTAGTGTAACTATATTCATCAATAATCTTAGCTATTTGTTCTGGACAACTTGCTGTAGCTTTTGCATCAGCACTTGTTTTTTCTCTTTGCACATTTATGTTGAAGAGGTGGACTTTTTTCTTAAACCTCATGGACTAACACCTGTTAGCTTTAAACTTTCCATCTGTAGCTTCCTCACCTTTCCCAGTCTTCATAGAATTGAAGAGAATTGGGTCCTTGCTCTGAATTAGACTTTGGCTTAAGGGAATATTGTTTCTGGTTTGATCTTCTATTCAGACCACTAAAACTTTCCCCATATTAGCAATAAGACTACTTCACTTTCTTAACATTTATGTATTCACTGGAGTAATACTTCTAATTGCCTTCAAGAATTTTTTTTTTTTGCATTCAAAATGTGGCTGTTTGGGGGTTAAAAGCCTATAATTTGGCCTATCTTGTCTTTCAATTTGCCTTCCTCACTCTCACTAAGCTTAATCATTCCTAACTTTTGATGTAAAGTGAAAGATATGCTACTCTTCCTTACACTTGAACACATGGAGGTCATTTTAAGTTTATTATTGGTCTCATTTAAATACTATTGTGTGTCATGAAATAAGGTATCCCAAGAAGAGGAAAAGACATAGTGGAAAAGCTAGTCAGCTGCTCACTCAGAACACATACACTTGTTGATTAAGTTCTCCATGTTATATGGGCACAATTGAGCTCCAAAACAATTACAATAGTAACATTAAAAATCACTGATCACAGATCACTATAGCAGATATAATAACTGTGAAAAGCTTTGATATAGTGCAGGAATTACCAAAGTGTGACATAGAGACAGAAAATGAACATATGTTGTTTAAAATTTATCATCAACAGACCTACTTGACACAGAGTTGCCACAAATCTTCAATGTGTAATTATCACAATATCTGCAAAGTGCAATAATGCAAAGTACAATAAAGAGAGGTGTTCCTGTTATGGTTTCTAATATTTTAGTTGTCATGTAGAGTCACAACAACCACAATTATTACACAATTATTATAATATATTGTCATCGTTTCATAAAATAAAGGTCATTTTATTTCTAAAAATAAAGAAAACATCACACACCAGGGCCTGCTGTGGGGTGGGGGAAGGGGGGAGGGATAGCATTAGGAGATATACCTAATGTTAAATGACGAGTTAATGGGTGCAGCACACCAACATGGCACATGTATACATATGTAACTAACCTGCACGTTGTGCACATGTACCCTAAAACTTAAAGTATAATAAAAAAAAATTCAGCCAGGAATAAATAAATAAATAAATAAAAATCCCACCTTAAAAAAAAAGAAAACATAATATCTAAATAAAAAAGAGCTTTACATTTGATTAATCTATTTTTATGATAAAACCATAAAATTTTATTTTCTTTTTTTTATACTTTAAGTTTTAGGGTACATGTGCACAACGTGCAGGTTTGATACATGGGTATACATGTGTCATGTTGGTTTGCTGCACCCACCAACTCATCATTTACATTAGGTATTTCTCCTAATGCTGTCCCTCCCCCAGCCCCCCAACAGGCCCCAGTGTGTGTAAAGCTTTTTATTTTAATGTACTCTAATTAAAAATTTCTCACAGTTTGAGATCCACTGATCTCTGAATTAAGTATGCTTATCTAATGCATTGGTTATTCAGGTTCTTCTTGAACTCTTCTAATCATTGAAAAGTCACTTTCTCCTGAAGGAAATGACTCTTACTGCTAGGAAGTATATCCTTGGGTTAAAGTGTACTTCTCTATAATTTCAGTTATTACTACTGTGTTTCTCTAGAGGAGCTACACAAATTAATTCACGTTTCTATTCCAACATATACTGTACTTTTACAAAAATAAAACCATGCCTACTATAATTTTCTGAGAACTTTGATTTTTCTTTCCTCAGGGTCTATCAATTCATTTCTCAAAAGAGATTAGTAAAATAAAAAAAAGTCACTGTGGTTAGTATATATGGAGCTACAAATATACACAATATTTAATACAACTTAAAGTTTCATATGTTTAGCCTGGATTAATTGCTGTTACATATTATTTCAAGAGCAAAAGGACACCTTTAAAAATCTGTCAATAGGCACCCTCTGTCTTTCACTGTTGCGTCTTGCATTTTGCAAACCATGTGGTAGTCTAAATAAAGATGTTTGTATCCTAATCCCTGAAACCTATGAATATATAATTTTACATGGTAAAGGAGTATTTGCATACGTGATTAAGTTAAATAATTTGAGATGAGGAGATCATTTGGGCTTATCTGGATAGGCCCAATGTAGTGACAAAGGTCCTCATGAGAGGGTGGCTGGAGGATCAGAGTTAATAGTAGGAAACAGGAGGATAGAAGCAAGAGTTTGGAGTAATGTGAAGAGGGGGTACAAGCCAAGGAATGCAGGTAGTCTCTAGAAGATGGAAAAGAGAAAAACATTCTCCTCTGGTGCCTACAGAAGTAATGCAGCCCTACCAATACCTTAAATTTAAGACTTCTTTCCTTCAGAACTGTAAAATATTACATTTTTATTTTATGCCAGTAATTTTGTGTTTTTTTTAATAGCAGCATTAAAAAACTAATATGCTTCCCCAACTTCCACGTGATGTTTTCCTCATAAGATGTACTTCAAAATCATTATGCCTTCTGTAATACTTTATCAAAACTGAAGTAGCAAACATCAGGCTTTTTGTACTAACATGTACAATGCATGAAGCTCAATATTCAATTTAACAAACAGAATGATAAAGTTAACTTAAAGAAGATAAAAAGATATGATTGATAAAACAGAATATTTGGGTTGTAGAGTATCTATTGCAGCTGCTTTATGTATCACTTTACTTTGTAGCCAAATTGCCCATTCTCAGATTCTAAAAGAGATACATTTAATTTAAAATGGATCCTTCCTTTGACAAAACTTCGGATGAGACCCTAGTCCTGACCAGCACCTTGATTGCAGCCTTATGAGAGACCATGTTGTAAAGAACCTAGATATGCCATGCCCATATTCTTCACCAACACAAACTCTGAGATAACAAATGTAGATTTTAAGCTGTTAAGTTTTGGGGGATACATTTTATGCAGCAATGGACAGCTAATATACACTCACTTCTAAGAAGGACATACTGGATTGATATGAATTGCCAAATATTGTTCTGAGTGCTTTCATACTCTACTTTGCAAGCAAAAGCCTCTGTGCTCCTCTTCTTACAGAATTTAGAGTCCTTGAGCACAGTGTCAAAGCTAGTATCAGCATTAAAATTAAAATCTTTATCTCTGGGACTCTGAAGGGTATACTCTTCATTATATCACCACTCCTCTCTCAGCCTTCAGTAATCACTCAAACAAAACTGATCATTTGCTATGAATCCCCACAGCAACTTGTGCATATGTGCATCATAACACTGTCTCATAGACGGTTCTGTATTTGTGTTAGTCATGCGTTTATAGTCATCTTCTCTTAGTCAAGAGAGACCATCAAATATTTACTTTTCTGTTTCCAGTCTCTGTCATTATGTTTTATATTCATTTATTTAATAAAAAATAATGATTGAGATCCTATTATTGGGCAATAAATATGTATTGAATGAGTAAATGAACAACACAGTATAAATAATACACCTGCAACTACTAGGACAAAGAGTAAAAGAATGTGTGTGTGTGTGTGTGTATAACAGTTTCATATATATATGTAATTTGCAAATAGTAATAAATAATTTTGTATAATGTGTAAATACATGCAATAAAACAGTTTTAGATATTATATATAATACTATATATTGTTACACCTATACTTACTAATATTGTAAATATTATTAACAGAGTAAGAGAATTTTGCTTGTGGTTTGATCTTCTATTCAGATCACTAAAACTTTCTCCATGTAAGCAATAAGGCTGCTTCACTAATTTTTTTACATTTATTTTAAGTTCAGAAATACCTGTGCTGGTTTGTTATATAGGTAAACTTGAGTCATGGGAGTTTGTTGTACAGATTATTTTATCAACCAGGTAATAAGCCTAGTATCCATTAGTTTTTTTTTTTCTGGTCCTCTCCTTCCTCCCACCCTCCACCCTCTGATAGGCCCCAGTGTGTGGTGTTCCCCTCTATGTGTCCATGTGTTCTCATAATTTAGCTCCTTAAGTGAGAACATGTGGTATTCGGATTGCTCTGTTCCTACGTTAATTTGCTAAGAATAATTGCCTCTAGCTCCATCCTTGTTCTTGCAAAAGACAGGATATCATTTTTTTTCATGGCTTCATAGTATTCCATGGTGTATATGTACCACATTTTCTTTTTTTTAATTATGCTTTAAGTTCTGAGATACATGTGCAGAATGTGCAGGTTTGTTACATAAGTATACATGTGCCATAATGGTTTCCTGCACCCATCAATCCGTCATCTACATTAAGTATTTCTCCTAATATTATACCTCCCCTAGCCCCCCACCCCCGACAGGCCCCAGTGTGTGATGTTTCTCTCCCTGTCTCCATGTGTTCTCATTGTTCAAATCCCACTTATGAATAGGAACATGCAGTGTTTGTTTTTCTGTTCCTGTGTTAGTTTGCTAAGAATGATGGTTTCCAGCTTCATCCATTTCACTGCAAAAGACATGAACTCATCCTTTTATATGGCTGCATAGTATTCCATGATGTCTATGTGCCACATTTTCTTTATCCAGTCTATTATTGATGGACATTTGTGTTGGTTCCGAGTCTTTGTTATTGTGAATAGTGCTGCAACAAACACACATGTGCATGTGTCTTTATACTAGAAAGATTTATAATCCTTTGAGTATATACCCAGTAATTGGATTGCTGGGTCAAATGGTATTTCTGGTTCTAGATCCTTGAGGAATCACAACGTTGTCTTCCACAATGGTTGAACTAATTTACACTCCCACCAACTGTGTAAAAGTGTTCCTATTTCTCCAAATCCTCTCTAGCTTGTTGTTTCCTGACTTTTTAATGGTCACCAATCTAATTGGTGTGAGATGGTATCTCATTGTGGTTTTGATTTGCATTTCCCTAATGACCAGTGATGATGAGCTTTTTTTCATATGTTTGTTGGCCACATAAATCTCTTTTGAGAAGTGTCTGTTCATATCCTTTTCCCACTTTTTGATGGGGTTGTTTGTTTTTTTTTTCTTGTAAATTTGTTAAGTTCTTTGTAGTTTCTGAATATTAGCCCTTTGTCAGGTGGATAGATTGCAAAAATTTTCTCCCATTCTATAGGATGCCTGTTCAGTCTGATGATAGTTTCTTATGTTGTGCAGAAGCACTTTAGTTTAATTAGATCCCATTTATCTATTTTGGCTTTTGTTGCCATTGCTTTTGGTGTTTTAGTCATGAAGACTTTTCCCATGCCTGTATCCAGAATGGTATTGCCTAGGTTTTCTTCTAGGATTTTTTTATGGTTTTAGGTCTCAAGTTTAAGTCTTTAATCCATCTTGAGTTAATTTTTGTATAAGGTGTAAGGAAGGGGTCCAGTTTCAGTTTTCTGCATATGGCTAGCCAGTTTCCCCAACACCATTTATTAAATAGGGAATCCTTACCCCATTGCTTGTTTTTGTCAGCTTTATTGAAGATCAGATGGTTGTAGATGTGTGGCGTTATTTCTGAGGTCTCTGTTCTGTTCCATTGGTCTACATACCTGCTTTGGTACCAGTACCATGCTGTTTTGGTTACTGTAGCCTTGTAGTATAATTTGAAGTCAGGTAGCATGATGCCTCCAGCTTTGTTTTTTTGCTTAGGATTGTCTTGGATATACAGATTCTATTTTGATTCCGTATGAAATTTAAAGTAGTTTTTTCTAATTCTGTGAAGAAAGTCAATGGTAGCTTGATGGGAATAGCATTGAATCTATAAATTACTTTGGGCAGTACATTTTCCGATATTGATTCTTCCTATCCATGAGCATGGAATGTTTTTCCATTTGTGTCCTCTCTTATTTCCTTGAGCAGTGGTTTGTAGTTCTCCTTGGAGAGGTCCTTCACATTCCTTGTAAGTTGTAATCTTAGGTATTTTATTCTCTTTGTAGTAATGTGAATGGGAGTTCATTCATGATTTGACTCTCTGTCTATTATTGGTGTATAGGAATACCTTTGATTTTTGCACATTGATTTTGTTTCCTGACTTTGCTGAAGTTGTTTATCAGCTTAAGGAGATTTTGGGCTGAGATTATGGTGTTTTCTAAATATACAATCATGTCATCTGCAAATAGAGACAATTTGACTTTATCTCTTCCTATTTGAATACCCTTTATTTCTTTCTCTTCCCTGATTGCCCTGATGAGAATTGCGATACTATGTTGAATAGCAGTGGTGAGAGAGGGCATCCTTGTCTTGTGCCAGTTTTCAAAGGGAATGCTTCCAGCTTTTGCCTATTCAGCAAGATATTGGCTGTGGGTTTGTCATGAATAGCTCTTATTTTTTTGAGATTTGTCCCATCAATACCTAGTTTATTGAGAGTTTGTAGCATGAAAGGCTGTTGAATTTTGTTGAAGGCCTATTCTGCCCCTACTGAGATAATCATGTGGTTTTGTCATTGGTTCTGTTTACATGATGTGTTATGTTTATTCATTTGCATATGTTTAACCAGCCTTGCATCACAGGGATGAAGCCTACGTGATCATGGTGGATAAGCTTTTTGATGTACTGCTGGATTCGGTTTGCCAACATTTTATTGAGGATTTTTGCATCAATGTTCATCAGGGATATTGGTCTGAAATTCTCTTTTTTTGTTGTGTCTCTGCCAGGTTTTGGTTTTAGCATGATGCTGGCCTCATAAAATGAGTTAGGGAGGAGTCCCTTTTTCTGTTGTTTGGAATAGTTTCAGAAGGAATGGTACCAGTTCCTCTTTGTACCTCTGGTAGAATTTGGCTCTGAGTCCTTCTGGTTCTGGATTTTTTTTGGGTGGTAGGCTATTAATTATTTCCTCAATTTCAGGACTTGTTATTGATCTATTCAGGGATTCAACTTCTTCCTGGTTTAGCCTTGAGAGGGTGTATGTATCCAGGAATTCATCTATTTCTTCTAGATATTCTAGTTTATTTGTGTAGAGGTGTTTATAGTATTCTCTGATGGTAGTTTGTATTTCTGTGGGATCAGTGGTGATATCCGCTTTATCATTTTTATTGTGTCTATTTGATTCTTCTGTCTTTTCTTCTTTATTAGCCTGGCTGGTGGTTTATCTATTTTGTTAATCTTTTCCAAATACCAGCTCCTAGATTCGTTGATTTTTGGAAGGGTTTTTCGAGTCTCTATCTCCTTCCGTTCTGCTCTGACCATAGTTATTTCTTGTCTCTGGTAGCTTTGGAATTTGTTTTCTCTTGCTTCTCTAGTTCTTTTAGTTGTCATGTTATGGTGTTGATGTTAGATCTTTCCTGCTGTCTTCTATGGGCATTGAGTGCTATAAATTTCCCTCTAAACACTGCTTTAGCTGTGTCCCAGAGATTCTGGTACATTGTGACTTTGTTCTCATTGGTTTCAAAGAATTATTTATTTCTGCCTTAATTTTGTTATTTATTTTTGCCTTAATTTTGTTAGTCATTCAGGAGCAGGTTGTTCAGTTTCCATGTAGTTGTGCAGTTTTGAATACATTTCTAAATCTTGAGTTCTAATTTGATTACCCTGTGGTCTGAGAAGCTGTTTGTTATAATTTCCATTCTTTTGCATTTGCTGAGGAGTGTTTTACTTCCAAGTACGTGGTCAAATTTAGAATAAGTGCAATGTGATGCTGAGAAGTATGCATATTCTGTTGATTTGGGGTGGAGAGTTCTGTAGATGTCTATTAGGTCCTTTTGGTCCAGAGCTGAGTTCAAGTCCTGAATATCCTTGTTAATTTTCTGTCTCATTAATCTGTCTAATATTGACAGTGGGATGTTAAAGTCTCCCACTGTTATTGTGTGGGAGTCTAAGTCTCTTTGCAGGTCTCTAAGAACTTCCTTTATGAATCTGGGTGCTCCTGTATTGGGTGCACATATATTTAGGATAGTTAGCTCTTCTTGTTGCATTGATCACTTTACCATTAGGTAATGCCTTTCTTTGGCTTTTTAAATCTTTATTGGTTTAAAGTCTGTTTTATCAGAGATAAGGATTGCAACCCATGTTTATTTTTCTTTTCATTTGCTTGGTAAATATACCTCCATCCCTTTATTTTGAGTCTATGTGCGTCCATGCACATAAGATGGGTCTTCTGAGTACAGCGCCCAGGTGGGTCTTGACTCTTTAATCAATTTGCCAGACTGTGTCTTTTAATTGGGGCATTTAACCCATTTACACTTAAAGTTAATATTGTTATGTGTGAATCTGATCCTGTAATTATGATGCTAGCTCGTTATTTTGCCCATGAGCTGATTTAGTTTTTTCATAGTGTCGATGCGCTTTACAATTTGGTATGTTTTTGCAGTGGCTGGAACCAGTTTTCCATTTCTACATTTAGTGTTTCTTTTAGGAGTTCTTGTAAGGCAGGCCTGGTGGTGACAAAGTCTCTTGGCATTTGCTTGTCTGTAAATAATTTTCTTTCTCCTTCGCTTATGAAACTTAGTTTGGCTGGATATGAAATTCTGGGTTAAAAATTCTTTTCATTAAGAATGTTGAATATTGGCCCCGACTCTCTTCTGGCTTGTAGGGTTTCTGCAGAGAGATCCACTGTTAGTCTGATGGACTTCCCTTTGTGGGTAACCCGACCTTTCTCTTTGGCTGCCTGAACATTTCTTCCTTCATTTCTACCTTGGTGAATCTGATGATTATGTGTCTTAGGGTAGCTCTTCTTGAGGAGTATCTCTGTGGTGTTGTCTGTATTTCCTGAATTTGAATGTTGGCCTGTCTTGATAGGTTGGGGAAATTCTCCTGGATAATATCCTGAAACGAGTTCTCCAACTTGATTCCATTCTCCCTGTCACTTTCAGGTACACCAACCAAATGTAGGTTTCGGCTTTTCACATAGTCCCATGTTTCTTGGAGGCTTTGTTTGTTCCTTTTTCTTTTCTCTAATCATGTCTTCACATTTTATTTCATTAAGTTATCTTCAATCTCTGATATCCTTTCTTTTACTTGATCGATTCGGCTATTGATACTTTTGTATGCTTCACAAAGTTCTCGTGCTGTGTTTTACAGCTCGATCAGGTCATTTATCTTCTTCGCTAAGCTGTTTTTTCTAGTTAACAATTCCTATAACCTGTTTTCAAGGTTCTTAGCTTTTTCACATTGCGTTAGAACATGCTCCTTTAGCTTGGAGGAGTTTGTTATTACCCACTTTCTGTAGCCAACTTCTGTCAATTCATCAAACTCATTCTTCATCCAGTTTTGTTCCCTTGCTGGTGAGGAGTTGTGAACCTTTGGAAGAGAAGAGGCATTCTGTTTTTTGAAATTTTTGGCCTTTAGGTTTTTCCTCATCTTCGTGGATTTATCTACCTTTGGTCTTTGATGTTGGTGAAGTTCACATGGGGTTTTTGTGTGGATGTCCTTTTTGTTGATGTTGATGCTATTCTTTTCTATTTGTTAGTTTTCCTTCTAACAGGCTCCACTGCTGCAGGTTTGCTGGAGGTCCACTCCAGACCCTATTGCCTGGCTATCACCAGCGGAGGCTACAGAACAGCAAATATTGCTGCCTATTCCTTCCTCTGGAAGCTTTGTCTCAGAGGAGCACCTGCCAGATGCCAGCTGGAGCTCTCCTGTATAAGGTGTCTTTTGACACATGCTGGGAGGTGTCTCCCTATCAGGAGGCATGGAGTTCAGGGACCCACTTGAGGAGGCAGTCTGTTTCTTAGCAGAGCTCGAGCGCTGTGCTGTGAGATCTGCTGCTCTCTTCAGAGCCGGCAGGCAAGAACTTTTAAATCTCCTGTAGCTGGGCCCATAGTTGCCCCTTTTCCCAGTTGCTCTGTCCCAGGGAAATGGGAGATTTATGTATAAGCCCCTGACTGGGGCTGCTGCCTTGCTTTCAGAGATGCCCTGCCCAGAGAGGAGGAATCTAGAGAGGCAGTCTGGCTACAGCAGCTTTGCTTTGGTGGGTTTCCCCCAGTTCGAACTTCCCAGTGGCTTTGTTTACACTGTGAGAAGAAAACTGCCTACTCAAGCCTCAGTAATGGCAGACACCCCTCCCCCTACCAAGCTGGAGTTTCCCAGGTGGACTTCAGACTGCTGTGCTGGCAGCAAGAATTTCAAGCGAGTGAATCTTAGCTTGCTGGGCTCTGTGGGGGTGGGATCTGCTGAGCTAGACCACTTGGCTCCTTGGCTTCAGCTCCCTTTCCAGGGTAGTTCATGATTCTGTCTCACTGGCATTCCAGGAGCCAAGGGGGTATGAAAAAAAAAACTGTGGCTAGCTCGGTGTCTGCCCAAATGGCTGCCAAGTTTTGTGCTTGAAACCCAGGGCCTTGGTGGTGTAAGCACCCGAGGGAATCTCCTGGTCTGCTGGTTGCAAAGACTGTAGGAAAAGCATAGTATCTGGGTGGGAATGCACCGTTCCTCAGGGCACAGCCCCTCATGGCTTTCTTTGGCTAGGGGAGGGAGCTCCCCGACCCTTTGCACTTCCCGGGTAAGGCAACACCCCACCCTGCTTTGGCTTTCCCTCCGTGGGCTGCACCCACTGTCTAACCAATCCCAATGAAATGAGCCAGGTACCTCAGTTTGAAATGCAGAAATCACCCGCTTTCTGCATTGATCTTGCTGGGAGCTGCAGACCGGGGCTGTTCCTATTTGGGCATCTTGCCAGCACTTCCCACATTTTCTTTATCTAGTCTGCCATTGATGGGCATTTAGGTTGATACCATGTGTTTGCTATTGTGCATAGTGCTGCCTGAACTTAACATTTATGTGTTCCCTGGAGTAGTATGTTTAATTTTCCTTAAGAACTTTTTTTGCATTTAAAACTTGCAACATTTATGTGCACAAAGTTTCTTTTTATGTGCTGAATGTTTTGAAAACAATTCTTTGGAAATTATACTTTTCTGCCTTGTATTATTTCTGTTATTATTTCCTAGGATAGGTTTGTATACATATATGCATTTAAGACGATATAGCTCTTCTTCACTCATGAATTATAAAATTCTACTTTCAAAATGCCATCTTATCTATGTTATTTTGGTAAGATGGGTTTTAGTGGATTTCTTGATTTGGTTGCTTAATTTTCTAAGTAATGTGCTTCCTATGGCACACTGCCAATTGCCCAACCACTGCTACACTTACTAGAATTATAAATGGACTGCTTTCTGTTTAACAGTTTATGTACCCTTTAATCATGGATGTGGGTATAATAATAACTCTCTTCTAAGATGTCCAATAGCTTGCTGATGTAGTCAAGCCAGATACGTCTCTGGGAGTGTCTTTCCTTCCATATTTAATACTCTCATAATAATCAAGGATATAAACAACAGAAAGTAATGAGCAGCTTTCTTAAGTTACAAAAATATTCTCAGCTGTTCAATCCCTCTGCCATTACTGTTATTGGTCAAGTTTCCTCTCTTACTAATTTTAAACAATTATATTTTTCCAGGACAAAATGTTTTTTTTCCAAACATAGATTGTAAATTTTAAAATAAAATATGATTTATGTAATTTATTATTTTAATTTTGTTATTTTTGTGAAGTTCATGGCATATTGAATGCTTGTGTTTGATCAAAAGTGAAGGAATTAAATACCACCAGATATTCTACTCTGAAGAACTTTTTTCACTTCTTTCCATAGTTTTAAAAAACATAATATGGTAATTAAAAACAACACATTAGACTCTACACTGATATGTATGGACAGAAAAAGACTCCCCAAGGCCTTTACTCTCATTTTAAATTGAATAGTTTTATAGAGGACAAAGATAGTTCTAGATGTAGGTTTTAACCAGACCAAGCAAATGAAACCAGAAATTATCAAAGGTACCATATAAAATGGCAGAAAACTGGAGTATAGTTCTTTTAAATGGTATTCATACATTTTTATGTTGAAATAAAAATTATCTTTTCAAAATAAATCATATTTGACACTTGTTAGAGGTAGACATAGATTTTCAGAAAAAATTCTTTCTTAGAATAGGTAGAAATAAGAAATAAGGGAAAAGAGAAGTTGACTAGTTGACCAAACAAACAAGGGTGAAGGTAGTAAGTTACTTCTTCCACAGAACAGCTTTAATTATGACAAGTGACAATTAATCCAGGCTCTCTCCACTTATGAAGTATCTTGAAAATGGCCTATCTTAACCCTCATCACAGATTTCCAAATGGAAACTTAGAAACCCATTCATTAATTCTTCTCCTTTATTTATATGGTATGGCCTATTAAGTCTACCACTTAACTCTAGAATTCCTTCATCTTGGAGATCCAGAGTACCATTGTATTATATTTCCTCTAGTCACCTGAACTAAATAAAAATGAAAACATGACATAGCAAAATTTATAAGATATGGATAAAGCAGTTGTTAAAAAAACAATAATAAACACTTACATTAGAAAATAAGAGAAGTCTTAAATCCATGACCAGAACTTCTACCTTAACAAACTAGAAAAAAACATAAAATAAAAAGTAGGCAAAAAATATTGTAAAGATATAACGAAAAATTAATTAAATGGAAAAAAGAGAAGTGAAACCACAAGCTGGTTTATTGAAAAGATGATAGATAAATAGATGATAGATAGGTAGATAAATAATAAAAATTACCAATAGTAGGAATATGACGAGATATTACTATAAACTAGGCTGACATTATAATGATAATAGATAGAAAACTTAATGCATTTGGCAACATAAACAAAATAGACAAATTTTTTGGAAGAAAGAAAATGCCAAAACTCACACAAGAAAAAAAATACGTAAGTGAATAGCTCTACAATCTTTCTTTTAAATGGCAGTTTAGCAAAAACTTTTTCTCACAAAGAAAACTGTAGGCTCAAATGGTTTTCAAACACTTAGGGAAGAAACAATAATTCTACACAATTTTTTTCCAGAAAATATAAGGTGAGTAGAAACTCCCTAACTCATTCTATTAGCCCAACATTATCCTCAAAACAAAACTAGGGAAATACATTACAAGAAATTAAAACTATAGACAAATATCCATAATGAACATGTACATAACCATTCTTAACAAAATTTTAACAAATTAAGACCATCTACATACAACAATGATAACACACCATGATGATGCAGGGTTTATCTCATGAAAGCAAATGAACTTAACACTTTTTAAAAATAAAAAATACAATTTTTATTTTTATTTTTATTTTTATGTTTTCCTTTATAAATTACCCAGTTTTGGGTGTGTCTTTATTTTTTTATTTTTTTAATTATACTTTAAGTTTTAGGGTACATGTGCACAACATGCAGATTTGTTACATATGCATACATGAGCCATGTTGGTGTGCTGCACCTATTAACTCATCATTTAACATTAGGTATATCTGCTACTGCTAACCCTCCCCCCACCCCCCACCCCACAACAGGCCCCAGTGTGTGTTGTTCCCCTTCCTGTGTCCAAGTGTTCTCATTGTTCAATTCCCACCTATGAGTGAGAACATGTGGTGTTTGGTTTTTTGTCCTTGCGATAGTTTGCTGAGAATGATGGTTTCCAGCTTCATCCATGTCCCTACAAAGGACATGAACTCATCATTTTTTATGGCTGCATAGTATTCCATGGTGTATATGTGCCACATTTTCTTAATCCAGTCTATCATTGTTGGACATTTGGGTTGGTTCCAAGTCTTTGCTATTGTGAGTAGTGTCGCAATAAACATACGTGTGCATGTGTCTTTATAGCAGCATGATTTATAATCCTTTGTGCATATACCCAGTAATGGGATGGCTGAGTCAAGTTGGTATTTCTAGTTCTAGATCCCTGAGGAATCGCCACACTGACTTCCACAATGGTTGAACTAGTTTACAGTCCCACCAACAGTGTAAAAGTGTTCCTATTTCTCCACATACTCTCCAGCACCTGTTGTTTCCTGACTTTTTAATGATTGCCATTCTAACTCGTGTGAGATGGTATCTCATTGTGGTTTTGATTTGCATTTCTCTGATGGCCAGTGATGATGAGCATTTTTTCATGGGTCTGTTGGCTGCATAAATGTCTTCTTTTGAGAAGTGTCTGTTCATATCCTTCGCCCACTTTTTGATGAGGTTGTTTGTTTTTTCTTGTAAATGTGTAGGAGTTCATTGTAGATTCTGGATATTAGCCCTTTGTCAGATGAGTAGATTGCAAAAATTTTCTCCCATTCTGTAGGCTGCCTGTTCACTCCGATGGTAGTTTCTTTTGCTGTGCAGAAGCTCTTTAGTTTAATTAGATCCCATTTGTTAATTTTGGCTTTTGTTGTCATTGCTTTTGGTGTTTTAGACATGAAGTCCTTGCCCATGCCTATGTCCTGAATGGTATTGCCTAGGTTTTCTTCTAGGGTTTTATAGTTTTAGGTCTAACATTTAAGTCTTTAATCCATCTTGAATTAATTTTTGTATAAGGTGTAAGGAAGGGATCCAGTTTCAGCTTTCTACATATGGCTAGCCAGTTTTCCCAACACCATTTATTACATAGGGAATCCTTTCCCCATTGCTTGTTTTTGTCAGGTTTGTCAAAGATCAGATAGTTGTAGATGTGTGGCATTATTTCTGAGGGCTCTGCTCTGTTCCATTGTTCTATATCTGTGTTTTGGCACCAGTACCATGCTGTTTTGGTTACTGTAGCCTTGTAGTATAGTTTGAAGTCAGGTAGCATAATGCCTCCAGCTTTGTTCTTTTGGCTTAGGATTGACTTGGCAATGTTGGCTCTTTTGTGGTTCCATATGAACTTGAAAGTAGTTTTTTTCCAATTCTGTGAAGAAAGTTATTGGTAGCTTGATGGTGATGGCATTGAATCTATAAATTACCTTGGGCAGTATGGCCATTTTCATGATATTGATTCTTCATATCCATGAGCATGGAATGTTCTTCCATTTGTTTGTATCCTCTTTTATTTCCTTGATCAGTGGTTTGTAGTTCTCCTTGAAGAGGTCCTTCACATCCCTTGTAAGTTGGATTCCTAGGTATTTTATTCTCTTTGAAGCAATTGTGAATGGGAGTTCACTCATGATTTGGCTCTCTGTTTGTCTGTTATTGGTGTATAAGAATTCTTGTGATTTTTGCACACTGGTTTTTTATGCTGAGACTTTGCTGAAGTTGCCTATCAGCTTAAGGAGATTTTGGGCTGAGACGATGGGGTTTTCTAGATATACAATCATGTCGTCTGCAAACAGGGACAATTTGACTTCCTCTTTTCCTTATTGAATACCCTTCATTTCTTTCTCCTGCCTGATTGCCCTGGCCAGAACTTCCAACACTATGTTGAATAGGAGTGGTGAGAGGGGGCATCCCTCTCTTGTGCCAGTTTTCAAAGGGAATGCTTTCAGTTTTTGCCCATTCAGTATGATATTGGCTGTGGGTTTTTCATAGACAACTCTTATTATTTTGAAATACATCCCATCAATACCTAATTTATTGAGAGTTTTTAACATGAAGAGTTGTTAAATTTTGTCAAAGGCCTTTCCTGCATCTATTGAGATAATCATGTGGTTTTTGTCATTGGTTCTGTTTATATGCTGGATTATGTTTATTGATTTGCATATGTTGAAACAGCCTTGCATCCCAGGGTTGAAGCCCACTTGATCATGGTGAGTAAGCTTTTCGATGTGCTGCTGGATTCGGTTTGCAAGTATTTTATTGAGGATTTTTGCATCGATGTTCATCAGGGATATTAGTCTAAAATTCTCTTTTTTTGTTGTCTCTCTGCCAGGCTTTGGTATTAGGATAATGCTGGCCTCATAAAATGAGTTAGGGAGGATTCCCTCTTTTTTCTATTGACTGGAATAGTTTCAGAAGGAATGGTTCCAGCTCCTCCTTTTACCTCTGGTAGAATTCGGCTGTGAATCCATCTGGTCCTGGACTTTTTTTGGTTGGTAAGCAATTAATTATTGCCTCAATTTCAGAGCCTGTTATTGGTCTATTCAGAGATTCAGCTTCTTCCTGGTTTAGTCTTGGGAGGGTGTATGTGTCCAGGAATTTATCCATTTCTTCTAGATTTTCTAGTTTATTTGCATTGAGGTGTTTATAGTATTCTCTGATGGTAGTTTGTACTTCTGTGGGATCAGTGGTGATATCCCCTTTATCATTTTTTATTGCAGCTATTTGATTCTTCTCTCTTTTCTTCTTTATCAGTCTTGCTAGCAGTCTATCAATTTTTTGATCTTTTCAAAAAAAGCAGCTGCTGGATTCATTGATTTCTTGAAGGGTTTTTTGTGTCTCTATTTCCTTCTGTTCTGCTCTGATCTTAGTTATTTCTTGCCTTCTGCTAGCTTTTGAATGTGTTTGCTCTTGCTTCTCTAGTTCTTTTAATTGTGATGTTAGGTTGTCAATTTTAGATATTACCTGCTTTCTCTTGTGGGCATTTAGTGCTATAAATTTCCCTCTACACACTGCTTTGAATGTGTCCCAGAGATTCTGGTATGTTGTGTCTTTGTTCTTGTTGGTTTCAAAGAACATCTTTATTTCTGCCTTCATTTCGTTCTGTAGCCAGTAGTGATTGAGGAGCAGGTTGTTCAGTTTCCATGTAGTTGAGCGGTTCTGAGTGAGTTTCTTAATCCTGAGTTCTAGTGTGATTGCACTGTGGTCTGAGAGACAGTTTGTTATAATTTCTGTTCTTTTACATTTGCTGAGGAGTGCTTTACTTCCAACTATGTGGCCAATTTTGGAATAGGTGTGGTGTGGTGCTGAAAAGAATGTATATTCTGTTGATTTGTGGTGGAGAGTTCTGTAGATGTCTATTAGGTCCGCTTGGTGCAGAGCTGAGTTCAATTCCTGGATGTCCTTGTTGACTTTCTGTCTCGTTGATCTGTCTAATGTTGCCAGTGGGGTGTTAAAGTCTCCCATTATTATTGTGTGGGAGTCTAAGTCTCTTTGTAAGTCTCTAAGGACTTGCCTTATGAATCTGGGTCCTCTTGTATTGGGTGCATATATATTTAGGTGAATCATCTTTTTTTTTTAATTATACTTTAAGTTTTAGGGTACATGTGCACATTGTGCAGGTTAGTTACATGTGTATACATGTGCCATGCTGGTGCGCTGCACCCACTAACTCGTCATCTAGCATTAGGTATATCTCCCAATGCTATCCCTCCCCCCTCCCCCCACCCCACCACAGTCCCCAGAGTGTGATATTCCCCTTCCTGTGTCCATGTGATCTCATTGTTCAGTTCCCACCTATGAGTGAGAATATGTGGTGTTTGGTTTTTTGTTCTTGTGATAGTTTACTGAGAATGATGATTTCCAATTTCATCCATGTCCTCATCTTTTTAAAGTGCTCTTGAATTTGGTTTGCTAGTATCTTTTTGAGGATTTTTGTTCCTGTGTTCACGAAGGATATTGGTCTGTCATTTTCTTTTCTTGCAATGTAGTTGACAATCTTAGATATCACAGTAATACTGACCTCATTAAGGGTTTAGAAGTATTCTCTCTTCTGCATTAAAAAATTATTGGGAATATTGGTAATAGTTCTTTAAATATTTGGTAACATTCAGCAGTGAGGCCATCAGGTCTTGGGCTTTCCTCTAATGGGAAATATTAATTACTGATTCAAAGTTTTTACCGTTTATTTATCTGTTCAAACTTTCTGTTTCTTCTGGATTAAGTATTGGTATGTTATATGTGTCTAGGTATTTCCACATGTTTTCTAGGTTATATAATTTGTTGACATTCATATTATTCTTTTAAGATCCTTTATATTTCTGTGATATCAGTTATAATGTCTCCTCTTTAATTTTTTGTTTTTATTTGACAAATTCTCTTTTTTTGTTATTTTAGAGCTTCCTTCCTTTTGATATAGGTATTTATTGCTGTAAATTGCTCTCATATGACTACTTTTGCCTCATCCCATAGGTTTTGTTCTTTTGTGCTTACATTTTTGTTTTTCTAAAGGTATTGTTTTTATTTCTCCATTAATTTCTTCTTTTGTCCATTGGTTGTTCAATAGCATGTTGTTTAATCCCACATATTTTTGAATTTTCCAAAACTTTTCTTATTATTGATTTCTACTCTCATACTATTGTGGTCAGAAATGATATTTGATATCTAAATCCTCTTAAATTTGTTCAGACTTGTATGCCCTAACACATGATATATCCTGGAGAAACTTTTATGTAAACTTGAGAAGAATGTGTACTCTGTTGCTGCCTGATGGAGTGCTCTGTATCTATTTTTATAACCATTTTTGGTCTAAAGTGCTGTTTGAGAGGTGTTCTATTTGCTTTTTTATCTGGAAAAATTGTCCATTGTTGAAAATGGGGTACTGAAGTCTTGTAGTATTTTTGTAGTACAGTCTATCTCTCCTTTCAGAGTCTCATATTATATATATATATATATATACACATATATATTTTATATTTATAATATGTGTGTGTGTTAGTTCCAATGTTGTGTTCATATATTTACAATTGTTATATCCTGTTGATGAATTGACACCTTGATCATTATAAAACGACCTTCTTCATCTCATTATGCAATTTTTGGCTGAAGATCTCTATTGTCTCAGGTAAGTATATCTACTCCGCTCACTTTTGGTTTCCATTTCCATGAAATATATTTTTCCACTCTTTCACTTTCAGTCTATTTGTTTCCTTAAATTTAAGGTATCTTTCAGGCAGCATAAAGTTGTGTCTTGTCTTTTTTATCCATACAGCTATTCCATGTCTTTTCATTGGATAATTTAATCTATTTATATTCAAAGTAATTATTGATAGGTAAGGACTTACCACTGCCCTTATTTAATTTAGTTTTGGTTGTTTGGGTTATACTGTGTTTTGTTCTTTCTCTCTTGGTGTCTTTCTTTGTTATTTGATGATTTTCTGTAGTGATATTCTCTGAAGCTTTTCTTTTTTTTAATCAGTCAGATTTTCAATCTTTATTTTTATTTAATTAGAATTTTAGAGTAGATGTGTTCATGGTCTAAATTTTATATCACTAAACAACTGTATCAAATTGTCAGTGCTTTATTTTTATTCAATAGGTTTGGGGGAATAGGTGGTGTTTGGTTGCATGGAAAACTTCTTTAGAGATGATTTCTAAGATTTTCGTGCACCCATCACCTGAGGAGTGGACACTGTACCAATGGGTAGTCTTTTATCCTTCACCCCCTTACGACCCTTCACTTTGAGTTCCCAAAGTCCATTATATCATTCTTAGGTGTTATGCATCCTTATAACTTAGCTGCCATTTAAATGTGAGAAAATACGATGTTGGGTTTTTTTATTCCTTAGAATAAATGGTCTCCAATTCCATTTATTCACTTAGAATAATAATCTCCAATTCCATTATTCACTTAGAATAATGGTCTCCAATTCCATTATTCACTTAGAATAATGGTCTCCAATTCCATTATTCACTTAGAATAATGGTCTCCAATTCCATTATTCACTTAGAATAATGGTCTCCAATTCCATTATTCACTTAGAATAATGGTCTCCAATTCCATTATTCACTTAGAATAATGGTCTCCAATTCCATTATTCACTTAGAATAATGGTCTCCAATTCCATCCAGGTTGCTGCAAATGCCACCATTTTGTTCCTTTTTATGACTGAGTAGTATTCCACTATATGTGTATATACATATAGTGGAATACTACTCAGTATATATATAGTGTATATATATATATATATATATATATACACACACACATATATATATACATATATATATATATAATATATGTATATATACACCACATTTCCCTCCTTGGTTAGTGAGCACTTAGGCTGGTTCCATATTTTAGCAATTATGAATTATGCTGCTACAATCGTGCATGTGCAAGTGTTTTTTCATATAATGACTTCTTTTCCCCTGGGTAGATTTCCAGTAGGGGAATTGCTAGATGAAGTGGTAGTTCTACTCCTAGTTCTAAAAGGAATCTCCACACTGTTTTCCATAATGGTTGTACTAGTTTACATTCCCACCAGCAGTGTACTAGTGTTCTTTTCTCACCACATCTACAATAATATCAGTTATTTTTTGATTTTTTAATTCGAGGCATTCTGGCAAAAATAAGGTAGTATCTAATTGTGGTTTTGATTTGTATTTCCCTGATAGGTAGTGATGTTGAGCATTTTTTCATATGATTGTTGGCCATTTGTATATCTTCTTTTGAGAATTGTGTATTCATGTCCTTTGCCCTATTTTTGATGGGATTGCTTTTTCTTGTTGATTTGTTTGAGTTCCTTGTGGGTTCTAGACATTTGTCCTTTGTCAGATGCTTAGTTCTTGAATATTTTCTCCAATTCTGTGCATTGTTTGTTTACTCTGCTGATTATTTCTTTACCTGTGCAGAAGCTTTTTAGTTTAATTAGGTCCCATCTACTTATTTTTGTTTTTGTTGCATTTACTTTTGGCTTTTGGTCACAAAAACTTTGCCTAAGCCAATATTAGAAGAGTTTTGCGGATGTTATCTTTTAGAATTTTTATGGTTTCTCGTCTTAGATTTAAGTCTTTGATCCATCTTGAGTTGATTTTTGTGAAAGGTGAGAGATGAGGATCCAGCTTCATTCTCCTACACGTGGCTTGCCAATTATCCCAGTACCATTTGTTGAATGGGGTGTCCTTTCCCCAATTTATGTTTCTGTTTGCTTTGTCAAAGGTCAGTTGGCTATAAGTATTTGGCTTTATTTCTTGGTTCCCTATTCTTTTTCATTGGTCTACATGTCTATTTTTATACCAGTACCATGCTGTTTTGGTAACTATAGACTTAACAGTATAGTTTGAAGTCGGGTAATGTGATACCTCCAGATTATTTTAATGGAGCTTTTCTACTTATGGTTTATGCATCTAGCATAATATTTGTGATACGATACCATAAGAAATACGTAAATCATTTTGTACTTGTTTTTTCTTTAACCATTGTACTAGAGTAAAATTTGCTGTACATTCCACAATTATCACTGAAGTCTATCCTGAATATGGTTCTGTGGTGCTAATATGATTGAGTTTTTAATTTTTATATGTTTTATGTTATTAACTAGTAATCTCTTATTTCAGCTCAAATAACACACTTTTGTCATTTCTGTTAGGCAGGTGTAGTGGTCATAAACTCCCTTAGCTTTTTTTTTTCTAACTTTTATGTTAGTTTCTGGGGTACATATGCAAGTTTGCTACATAATTATACTGTATGTCACAGGGGTTTGTCTACAAATTATTTCATCACCCAGGTAGTAAACATAGTACTCAATAGTGCTGTATTTTGATTCCCACCCTTCTCCTACCCTCCACCCTACTGGAGGCCCAAGTGTCTGTTTTTCCCTTCTTTGTGTTCATATGTACTCAGTGTTTACCTTCCACTTATAAGGGAGAACATGTGGTATTTGGTTTTCTGTTTCTGTGTTAGTTTCCTTAGGATAGTAGCCTCCAGCTCTATTCCTGTTACTGCAAAGGACGTGCTCTCATTCTTTTTATGGTTGCATCTTATTCCATGGTGTTTAAGTACCACATTTTCTTTATCCAATCTACTATTGATGGGCATTCAGTTTGGCTCCACATCTTCACTACTGTGGGTAGCACTGCAATGAACATACCTGTGCATGTGTCTTTATAGTAGAACAATTTATATTCCTTTTGGTATATACCCAATAATGGGATTGTTATATCAAACAATAATTCTGTTTTAAGTTCTATGAGAAATGGCCAAACTGCTTTCCACAATGACTGAACTGGTCTATATTCCCACCAGCAATGCACAAGAATTCACTTTTGTCCACAACCTTGCCAGCATCTGTTATTTTTTGACTTTTTAATAGTAGCCATTATGGCTGGTTTGAGATGGTATCTCACTGTGGGTTTTATTTGCATTTCTCTAATGATTAGTGATGTTGAGCATTCTTTTCATATGCTTTTTGGCTGCATGAATGTCTTTTTTTGAGAAGTGTCTGTTCATATACTTTGCCCACTTTTTGACGAAGTTGTTTTTCTTTTTCTTTTTTCTTTTTCTTTTTTTTTTTTTTGCTTGTAAATTTAAATTTCTTATAGACCCTGGAAGTTAGACTTTGTTGGATGCATACTTTGCAAGTATTTCCTCCCATTCTGTAAATTGTCTGTTGCCTTTGTTGAGAGTTTTCTTTGCTTTACAGAATATATTTAGTGTAATGAGGTCCCATTTGTTAATTTTGTTTGAAATTGTTTTTGATGTTTTTGTCATGAAATGGTTGCCAGGCCCTATATCCAGAATGGTGTTTCCTTGGTTATCTTCCAGGGTTTTTTTTTTTATACATTTTCATTTTAGATTTAAGTCTTTAATCCATCTTGTTAATTTTTGTATATGATTAAGAAAGGAGGGCAGGTTCAGTCTTCTGCATATGGCCTAGTCAGTTATCCCAGCACAATTTATTAAATAGAAAGTCTTTCCCCATTGTTTGTTTTTGTAAATTTTGTGCAAGATCCAAATGCTTGTAGTTGTGTGGTCTTACTTCGAGGGTCTTTATTTTTTTTCCACTTGTCTATGTATCTGTTTATCTACCAGTACCATGCTGTTTTCATTACTCTAGCCTCGTAGTATAGTTTTAAGTTGAGTAATGAGATGCCTCCAGCTGTAGTCTTTCTGCTTAGTATTGCCTTGGCTATTCAAGCTTTTTTATGGTTTCATATGAACTTTAAAATGTTTTCTTCTAATTCTGTGAAAAATGTCTTTGGGGGTTTGATAG
Source organism: Homo sapiens (assembly GCF_000001405.40). Lineage (NCBI taxonomy): Eukaryota > Metazoa > Chordata > Mammalia > Primates > Hominidae > Homo > Homo sapiens. The sequence continues at coordinate 83,701,327 of NC_000023.11, forward strand.
AAATATTGAATCTGTAAATTGCTTTGGGCAATACGGCCATTTTGACAATATGATTCTTTCTCTCCATGAACATGAGATGGTTTTCCATTTGTTTGTGCCACCTCTGATTTATTTGAGCAAAGTTTTGTAATTCTCACTGTAGACTTCTTTTATCTTTTGGTTAGCTATATTCCTATGGATTTTATTTTTCTTGTGGCTATTGTGAATACTATTGCATTCTTGATTTGGCTGTCAGCTTTGATGTTGTTGGCATATAGGAATGCTGCTGATTTTTGTACCTTGATTTTGTATCCCAAAAGTGTGCTGAATTTGTGTATCCAATCAATGAGCTTTTGGGCAAAGACTATGGGGTTTCTAGGTATAGAATAATATCATCGGCAAAGAGAGATATTTTGATTTCCTCTCTCCCTATTTGGATTCCTTTAATTTCTTTTTCTTTCCTGATTGCTCTGGCTAGGATTTCCAGTACAGTGTTGAATAGATGTGGTATGAGAGGTCATCTTTGTCTTGTTTCAGTTTCAAGAGGAATACTTCCAGCTTTTTCCCGTTCAGTATGAGGTTAGCTGTCAGTTTGTCAAAGATGGCTCTTATTATTTTGAAGTATGTTCACTCAATTTCTAGTTTGTTGAGGATTTTTAACATGCAGCAATGTCGAATTGTATAGAAAGCGTTTTCTGCATCTCTATTGAGATGATTGTGGGTTTTATTTTTGTTATATTTATGTGATTAACACATTAATTGATTTATGTATGTTGAACCAAACTTGTATCACAGGGAGAAAGCCTACTTGTTCAGAGTGAATTAGTTTTTTTTTTTTTTTTTTCTGAAGTGTCACACTGTTGCCCAGGCTGGAGTGCAGTGGTGCGATCTCCTGCCTCAGCCTCCCGATTAGCTGGGACTACAGGTGCCTGCCACCACGCCAAGCTAATTTTTTGTATTTTTAGTAGAAATGGGGTTTCACCATGTTAGCCAGGATGGTCTCGATCTCCTGACCTTGTGATCTGTCTGCCTCAGTCTTCCAAAGTGCTGGGATTACAGGCATGAGCCACAGTGCCCAGCCATGAATTAGCTTTTTGATGTGCTGCTGTATTCAGTTTGCTAGTATCTGGTTGAGTATATTTGTATCAAAGTTTATCAAAGAGATTGGCCTTTTTGTTTTTTGTTGTGTCTCTGAAAGGTTTCACTGTTAGGATGATGTTGGCCTCATAGAATGAGGTGGTTTCAGTGGAAATGGTACCACCTCTTCCTTATACATCTTGTAGTATTTAGCTGTGAATCTTTCTGGTCCTGGGCTTTGTCTGGTTGGTACATTCTTATTACTGATTCAGTCTTGGAACTTGTTATTGATCTGCTCAGGGTTTTAATGTCTTCCTGGTTCAATCTTGGGAGGTTGTATTTTTTTAAGGATTTAGCTAATCTTCTACATTGTGTAGCTCGTAGGCATAGAGGTGTTTGTAATAGTCTGTGTGGATTTTTTTGTATATCTGTGGGTTCAACAGTAAGGTCCCCTTTGTCATTTCCCATTATGTTTATTTGGATCTTCTCTCTTCTTTTTTCCTACTCTATCCAGCACTATATGTATCTCATCAACTCTTTCAAGAAACCAACTGGTGGATTCATTAATTGTTTAAATTTTGTTTTCAATCTGGGCAAGTTTTTCTTTCTTCCTCACTTCTGAAGAACAGCTTTGCTAGGTAAAAGTATTCTTGTTAGGCAGTTTTTTCTCTTTTGATACTTTGAAGACACAATCCCACTATCTGCTGGCCTACAGGGATTTTGCTGAGAAATTGACTGATAATCATAAAGGAACTCCCCTACATGTAATCTCTTTCTTATCTTTTGCTGCTTTCAGCAATTTTTGTCTTTGATTTTTGATAGTTTGATTATAATGTATCTTAGTGCAGTCCTCTTTCAGTTAAATTTGGCTGACAATCTCTAAGATTTTTGTTCCTAGATGTTGGCACATTTGCCCAGATTTAGGACCTTTTCAGCCATTATTATTATTATTATATCAATAACTTTTGGAGTACAATTAGTTTTTGGTTACATAGATGGATTATATAGTGGCAAATTCTGCAATTTTATTGCACCCGTCACCTGAGTAGTGTACATGGTACCTATTAGGTAGTTTTTTTTTAAATCCTGGGTGCCTTTGTTACCCTCCTACTTCTGAGTCTCCAAAGTCCCTTATATTACTCTGTATGCCTTTGTGTACTCATAGCTCAGCTCCCGCTTGGAAGTGAGAACATACAGTTTCTGGTTTTCCACTTCTATGTTACTTCACTTAGAATAATGGGCCCCCAGCTTCGTCCAAATTTCTGCAAAAGACATTTATTTCATTACTTTTAATGGCTGAGTAGTGTTTCATGGTGAATGTGTACCACATTTTCTTTATTCACTTTTTAGTTGATGGACACTTAGATTAGTTCGACATCTTTGTAATTGTGAATGGTGCTGCCAGAAACATATATGTGCAAGTGTCTTTTTTATACAATGACTTCTTTTCCTTTGGGTACATATTCAGTAGTGAGATTGCTGCATTCAATGGCAGATCCACTTATAGCTCTTTAAGGAATATCCATACTGTTTTCCAAAGAGGTTTAGGAATTTACATTCTCACTAGCAGTGTATGTGTGTTCCTTTTCCCCACATACATGTCAACATCCATTGTTTTTTGTCTTTTTAATAATAGCTATTCTTTCGGGAGTACGGTAGTATCTCACTGTGGTTTTAATTCGCATTTCCCTTATGATTAATAATGTTGAGCATTTCTTCATATATTTGTTTGCCATTTGTATATTTTCTTTTAAGAAATGTCTATTCGTGTTCTCTGTCCACTTTTTAATGGGATTATTTGATTTTTTTCTTTGTCATTTGCTTGAGATCCTTATAGATTCTGGATATTAGTTTGTTGTCGAATGTGTAGTTTGCAAATATTTTCTCCTGCTCCGTAGGTTGTCCTTTTCTTCTGTTGCTTATTTATTTTGACTTGCAGATGCTTTTCTGTTTATTTGGGTCTCATTTGTTTATTTTTGTTTTTGTTGCATTTGCTTTTGGGGTCACAGTTATAAATTATTTGCCTAAGCCAATGTCTAGAAGAGTTTTTCCAAAGTTGTCTTCTAGAAATTTTAGGGTCTCAGGCTGTATCAGTTTGCTTTTATAATGCTATAAAGGACTACCTGAAACTGGGTAATTTATAAAGAAAAGATGTTTAATTGAGTCACAGTTTAGTATGGGTGGGGAAGCCTCAGGAAACTTACAATCATGGAAGAAGGTGAAGGGAAAGCAATGCACCTTCTTCACAAGGCAGCACAAAGGAGAAGTGCTGAGTGAAGAGGGAAGAGGCTCTAATAAAGCCGTCAGGTCTCATGAGAACTCAGTCAATATCACAGGACAGGGAAACCATCCCCATGATTAAATTACCTTTACCTGGTCTCTCCCTTGACACATGGGGTTTATGGGAATTATGGGGATTACAATTCAAGATGAGAATTGGATGGGGGCATAAAGCCTAGCCACATCACAGGCCCAATATTTAAGTCTTCAAACCATCTTGAGTTGATTTTTATATATGATGAGAGATAAGGATCCAGTTTCATTCTTCCACATGTGGCTTGCCAGTTTTCCCAGCACCATTTATTGAATATGATGTCCATTCCTTAATTTATGTTTTTCATGTTTTGTCAAAAATTAGTTGGCTGTACATATTTCATTTTATTTCTAGGCTTTTTATTATGTTCCATTAGTCTATGTGCCTGCTTTTATACCAGCTCCATGCCGTTTTGGTAACTATAGCCTTGTATTATAGTTTCAAGTTCAATAATGTGATGCTTCCAGATTTGTTCTTTTTGCTTAGAATTACTTTGGCTATTTGTGCTGTTTTTGGTTCCATTTGAATTTTAGAATTTTCTTTTTTAAATTCTGTGAAAAGTGACATTGATATTTTGATGGGGATTATATTGAATCCATAGATTGTTTTGGGAAGTATGGTCATTTTCACAATATTGAGTCTTCCAATTCATGAGCATGAGATGTGTTTCCATTTGTTTAGGTCATTTATGATTTATTTCAGCAGTATTTTATAGTTCTCCTTGTAGAGATCTGTCATCTCTTTGATTATCAGCTTGGTCATTTTTGGTGGGGCTAACAATGTGTGTACATTGATTTTGTAACTTGAGACTTTATTGAATTTGTTTATGAAATATAAGGGTCTTTGGAAGGCCTTATATTTATAAGACCTTCCTTATACAATATAAGGCCTTATATTTATAAGGCCTTCCTTATACAATAGAATAATTGTATATAAATATACAATTATTCTTCCTTATACATAAATCTTCCTTATACAATAATCTTCCTTATACAATAGAATATATTGTATATATATTATACAATATATATAATAAATACATATTGTATATTTAGATACAATATATTATATTGTATCTAACTATACAATCATATCATCTGCAAACAGTGATAATTTAACTTCCTTTTTTTCAATTTAGATGCTTTTGTTTTTCTTATTATCTAATTGCTCTGTGTAGTACTTCCATAATTATGTTGATTAGGAGTGGTAATAATGGCCATTCTTGTCTTGTTCCTGTTCTTAGGGGAAATGCTTTAACCTTTCCCCCATTCAGTATGACGCTGGCTTTGGGTTTGTCACATATGGCTTTTATTATTTTGAGGTAGGTTCCTTCTATGTTGTTGAGAGTTTTCATCATAAAGGGGGCTAGATTTTGTTGAATGCTCTCTCTGCCTCTATTGAGATGATCATATAGTTTGTCCTTTTAATTCTTTCAAATGATGTACCACATTTATGGAATTGCATATGTTAAACCATCCTTGTATCCATGGAGTGAACCTACTTGATCATGATGAATTATCTTTTTGATGTGCTGCTAGATTCAATTAGCTAATATTTTGTTGCTGATTTTTGCATTTAAGTTCATCAGGGAAGTTTGTGTGTTGTTTTCTTCTTTTTATTGTACTATTTCCTGATTCTGGTATCAGGGTGATAGTAGCTTCATAGAATGATTTAGAGAGGATTCCCCTTTTCTCAATCTCTTGGAAGAGTTTCAGTAGAATTGGTACCAATTCTTTTTTTTTTTTTTTAATATCTGGTAGAATTCAGCTGTGAATCCATCTGGCCATTTTTTGTTGGCAATTTTTAAATTACTGATTCAATCTTGCTGCTTGTTATTGGTCGTTCAATGTTTCTATTTCTTACTGATTTAATCTAGGAGGGCTGTGTGTTTCCTAGAATTTGTCCATTTTCTCTAGGTTTTCTAGTTTGTGCACAGAGATCTTCATAGTAGTCTCAAATGATCTTTTGTATTTCTATGATGTCAGTTGTAATGTTTCTAGTTTCATTTCCAATTGAGCTTATTTTTCTCTTCTCTTTTTTTTCTTGATTAATCTGGATAATGGTCTATCAATTTTATCTATTTTTTCAAAGAACCACCTCTTTGTTTCCTTTACTTTGTTTATATATTTTTTTGTTTGAATATTATGTAGTCCTGCTCTAATCTTTGTTGTTTTCTTTCTTCTTTTAGCTTTAGGTTTAGTTTGTTCTGGTTTCTCCAGTTTGTTGAAGTGGGACATTAAGTTATCAATTTGTACTCTTTCAGACTTTTAAATGTGGACATTTAGCCCTATGAAATTTCCTTTTAGCACTGCTTTTGCTGTATCTCAGAGGGTTTGGTAACTTTTCTCATTATTATTTAATTCAAATAACTTTCTATTTTCATCATGATTTAATGTTAAGCCAGTTATTCAAGAGCAGATTATTTAATTTCTATATATTTGTATAATTTTGAGGTTTCCTTTTTGAGTTGTCTTTTAGCTTTATTCCACTATGGTCTGAGAAGATACTTGATATAATTTTGGTTTTTAAAAATGCATTGAGACTTGTTTTGTGGCCTGTCATGTGGTCTATCTTGGAGGCTGTGCTGTGTGCTGATGAGAAAAAATTATATTCTGCAGTTCTTGGGGAGAATGTTTTGTAAAGATTCACTAAGTCCATTTGTTCCAGCATGTTATTTAAATCCATTTTCTTTCTGTTGACTTTCTGTCTTGATTATCTGTCTAATGCTGTCAGTGCTGTATTGAAGTCTCCCACTATTACTGTTGCACTGTTTATCTCATTTCTTAGGTCTAGTAGTAACTTTTTTATGAATCTAGGAGCTCCAAGATTTTATGCATATATATTAGGACTGTAATATATTCTTGCTGAATTTATCTTTTTAATATTATATAATGACAATTTTTTTTTTTTACTATTGTTGCTTTAAAGTCTATTTTGTCTGATATAAGATTTTCCACTCCTGGTCACTTTTGATTTCTATGTGTGTGGAATAGCTTTCCCAATCCTTTTATCTTGAGTTTGTATGAATCATTCTGTGTTAGGTGGGTCTCTTGAAGACAGCAGATATTTATATTGTAATTTTTATCCGTTCCGCCATTCTGTATTTTTTAAATGGAGCATTTAGTCCATTTACATTACATATTAAGATGTGAGTTACTGTTTTCTTTATCACGTTGTTACTGCAATAGTTTTTTATTGTGTTACTGTTTCACAGCTCTGTGAATTTTAATATTTCAAGAGGTTCTATTTTGACACATATTGGGCTTTTGTTTCAAGGTTTAGAAGGTTTTTTTTTTTTTTTTTTTTTTTTTTTTTTTTTTTTTTTTTTTTAGCATTTCTTGTAGTGCTGGATTGGTAGTGACAAATTCCCTCCACATTTATTTGTCTGAAAATGACTTTATTTCTCCATCATTTATAAAAATTTGTTTTGCAGGATATAACAGCTGACAGCTGTTCTGTTTAAGGAAGTTGAAGATAGGACCCCACTCTTCTACCTTGTAAGGTTTCTGCTGAGAAGTCTGCCGTTAGTCCGATAGATTTTCCATTGTAGCTTACCTTCTGCTTTTGTCTTACTGCTCTTAGAATTATTTCCTTCATGTTCACTTTAGATAGCCTGGTGACTGCATGTCTTGGTGAAATTCTTTTTGCAGTGAATTTCCAAGGAGTTCTTTGAGCTTCTTGAATTTAGATATACAAATCTCTAGCCAGGCCAGAAAGCTTTTCTCAATTCCCTCAAATAGGTTTTCTAGACTTATTATTTTCTCTTCTCTCTCAGGAACATCAATACTCTTAGTTTTGGTCATTTGACATAATCTCACATTTCTTGGAGACTGTTCATTTCTTTTGATTTTTTTCTTTATTTTTGTCTAATTGAGTTAATTAAAAAGCCTTGTCTTTGAGCTCTGAAATTACTTCTCCTGAATTTTTTTCTTCTGCTTCACCTGTAGCTCCTGCACTTGCTGCCCACTTTATACTCTCCTCTGTTCCTGGCCAAAGGAGTTTGTCTCTACTCAATGTTATATTGTAAAACCCCAATGGAAGCTTCTTTCAATCTGAAACCACCAACTGAACTCTTTGGTTGTCTTCTGCAGGGTCCCCTGTGAGGAAAAGTAAGGAATAGCTGCCCTTGTTCCACAGTGGGATCTGGAGGTGCACACAAGTTTCTTACCCACTGATGCTCCTACTTTTATATTCCACAATCCTCCTCAAGTTGGTTCCTGCACTGGGTGGCAGTAAGGCCTTTCCTCATGTCCTGGATTTTCAGGGTCTCCAGTGGGGGCATGTATCCCAAAGGCAAACTTTCGCCCCTCACACTCTGGGGACTCACAACCCTTTGCCTGACTCACAGTGTAGGCTGCAGCCTCCTGCTTCCTTCAAAGGAGCAGTATGCCAGCAATGCCTCTAATCTACCATCTTGGAAAAAAACCACATTATTTCTTTAAGTGTATTTTATGGCTTTTTAAATCTCTATTCTCCTGCAGGAACTCCACTTTTGCAAATTGTGTGTCTTGATAATGTCCCATACTCTTGTAGGCTTTCTTCATTTTCTTTACATTTTTTTCTTTTTACTCCTCTGTCTGAATAATTGTAAATATTCTTTTTTCTTGTTCACTGATTTTTTCCTTTTGTTTTATTCAGCCTGCTGTTGAAGGTTTTTACTGATTTTTTTTTTTCAGTGCAGTCATTGTGCTCTTTATCACTATGATTTCTACTTGGTTTCTAAAATGTTTTCTATTTTTGTCAAAGTTTTTACTGTTGATGTATTTTTTCCCGAAATTTATTAAATTTTCTACCCATGTATTTTTTGTAATTCACTAAACTATTTTTGGAGAAATTATTTGTCAGCCTTTTACTAGATTGCTATTTTTTAGGATTTATTGTTGAAGCTTCATTAGTTTTTATAGAGATGTCATGATTCCCCAATTCTTCATAATTCTTATGTTGTTTAATTTGTGCGTGTGCATTTGAGAAGTGACACTCCTATTCCATCCTTTATAGGTGTTTTTGTAAGGAATAGACCTCCTCTATTAAGTCCAGTTGTTGATTCTAAGTGAGCCAGCAAGTAATGACACCTGGTAGGCAGAGTTTTCTGTTAGGTTCTCTAGCTGGCTAAGCTGCTAGTTTGCTCAGGTTGGATGGGGCTGCTAGCTGGGCTCTGCTGTCTAGTGAGAGCTCTGGCTAGGCTCTTCAATCAGGAAGAGCTGTGGGCTTGATACAATGATTACTTCTCATCAGGCTGAGACATAAAATGCATTCCCTGGCCCAATGGCACCAGCTCTGCAAATTGGTAGAGCTGTAGGTTGTTTTCCAAGGTTAGATGGAATCACTGCTCAAGATAGTGGGGACCAGTTGCTATGATTAATAAAAATTGTACAGTTGAGATTTGTCTCCTTGTCTGAGTGGAGACTTGGGATGACCTTTAAGACTGAGATGAGCCACTGTTTGAGTGACCAGGTGGCAAAGGTGGTCCTGTGGTTGGCTGAAAGGCACTGCTTTGGGCATATCCTTTACCGGGAAGGGCCTTGAGGTGGGCTTTGAGGCTCATCAAAGCCAGTGTTTAAACACCTAACTGGTATAAATCTAGTCCCTCTGCTTTGCTGAATGGTGTTGTCATAAACATCTACCTTCTTGTGTGGGATCTCATCTGGGGTGGGCTTTGCCATTGAACAAAGTCCTTGTTTGAGTTCCCAGGTGGTACAACTCTATCCCATGCACTTTGCTAAAATAGTTTATGGCAGGCATCTTTCTCCCTCGGCAGGGCCTTGGGGTGGGGTTTGAAGTTGGGCATGAAAGGTGTCTGTTTTGGGACTCAGCCAGATTGAATTTTCCACCATGCCTCTGAAAGCAATATGCTCAGCTTTGCAGGTAGACCGTGCAGTTGGTACCTCTAATTGGTCATCTCTGTTGGCAGTAACATGGAGCTACCACCAAAGATCCACATACTAGTTGCTGTGAGAAATTCCTCCTTTCTTTGTTCCTGTTTGACTTCAACTGGTCTAACTGTGAAATTACCTTTTTATTCCCAGTGAGATGAGACTGAGAGGCATTTTAGAATGCTAGGGAACCTGGATGTTCATCTCCAAATCTGTTTTCTCACTGTAGAAACATCATCCCAAGAGAATCCTCTCTTTGTGACACTTGGTCAACTTGGAGGCAAGAAAGGGAAAATGGGGCATATATGAGACTACTCCTCTTATACTTCCAAAGGAGTTTTGTTGGATTTACTGGTCCCCTTTGGTGTCTCAGGCTTATTTCCAAGTTTTTGGGTTTTTCGGGTGTTTTTGTATGTGGATAGTTGTTAGTCGAGCTTTCCCTGAGGGAAGGGTGAAGAAAAGCCTAGGACCTCATATTTTACAATATTGCTAATGTCACCTCTGTCACTATTATTAATTATAATCATCATACTGTACATAGGTCTCCAGAATTTACTCATCTTATGAATGAAAGTTCATACCCTTTAGCGAACATCTCCCCATTTTTCCTATTTCCTGGCCCTGGCCCTGTGGCAATCACCATTCTATTCACTGCTTCTATGAGTGAGTGTGACTTTGTAAATTCCACATATAAGTGAGATTATAAAGTATTTTTGGTGTTTTGTCTGGATAATTTCACTGTGCATAATGTCCAGATTCATTAATGTTGTCACAAATCAGCCATTATTTTTTAAATACGTTTTCTGTCACTTTCTCTGTCTCATCACTTTCTGTTATTTTAACAAGGAAAAGGTTAGCTCTCTTGTTGGTGTCCCATAAATCTCACAGGCTTTTATCACTTTTAATTTTTTTCTTTATTCTCCTCTGATGATTTGTCTGTGAGTTTGCAGATTTTTTTTTCCTTTGATCAAGTCTGTTGTTGGCACTCTCTATTGCATTTATTATTTCACTCATATTTTGCAGCTGCAAAATTTCTTTCTTATGATTTCTGTTTCATTACTAAACTTCTAATTTTTTGTATATATTGTATTTTTTTCTGATTTTATTGAGTTGTCCATCCGTATTATCTCGTAGCTTGCTGAGCTTTTAAAAATCATTTTTATGAATTCTCCCTGAAGCAACATGTAGATACCCATTTCTTTGGGGTTAGTTACTGGAATATTTTGTGTCCCTTTGTTGATGTAAAGTTCCCTTGACTATTCATGTTTCTTGAAGTATTGTGTTACTGCCTTCACACTTAAAGAAGCAGTCTGGCTGGCTTGGAAAGAGAAACACCTTCACCAATCATGAAGAAAAGGTTAAGCAATTGGCTAGGAATTCTGAGTCTTCCTTAGATTATTCTCTACAGATGCACCTGCTTCATACCTCTTCATTCCATTTATGGGAGATTTATTAAGATTGTATACCTTTTCTCAATTCCACAGTGCCAGGCTGGGTGATAAGAGCCTTCTTTTTTTTTTTTTTCCTGGAGTAGTTTCCTAAAATGCTCAAGTTTGCATGCTTTCTCTTAATAACACAGAATTTAGCCAGCTGGATGCAAGTGCTCATGAGTCATCTGCAAGAGCTTACATTTAAAGTCTGAGGGAAAAGCAGGGTAGTGCATGTGGTGAGCCAGTCCTGGCAACGAAGGTAGTGAGGCACATCAAGTATTTGGAGAACCCATAGGCAAGTTGGGAGGCATCGGCAGGGAAAGCATTCCACATTGCTTGTGGGAAGCTAACTGATGGAATCTTGCTGTGGTTATTTTGGGCTTAAGTCTCTATTTTTGTTTTCAGCTTCTCCCAACCACTCAGCTCTGCTGATTACTTCAGTAATCTGGGTGAGGCAAGAAAGAAATGGGCCTCGTAAGTCGTAACCCATTGTTCGTGGTAGTCAGGCACTCACTACATTATTACTTTCCCTTGTAAAAAATAATAATAATAATTGGCCGGGCGCGGTGGCTCACGCCTGTAATCCCAGCACTTTGGGAGGCCGAGGCGGGCAGATCACGAGGTCAGGAGATCGAGACCATCCTGGCTAACACGGTGAAACCCCGTCTCTACTAAATATACAAAAAATTAGCCGGTGTGGTGGGCGCCTGTAGTCCCAGCTACTCGGAAGGCTGAGGAAGGAGAATGGCATGAGACTCCGTCTCAAAAAAAAAAAAAAAAAAAAAAAAAAAAATCACAGGTTGCAGAGGTCTCCCTTGGTAATGTGTTGTGCCTCCGAGGGGGAGGAATAGCATGGATACATTAAAACTGTCCTACTTACTTTTTAAATGACTGTATTCTCACTGTGCAGCCATAAAAAAGGATGAGTTCATGTCCTTTGTAGGGACATGGATGGAGCTAGAAACCATCATTCTCAGCAAACTATCGCAAGGACAGAAAACCAAACACCGCATGTTCTCACTCATAGGTGGAAATTGAACAATGAGAACACTTGGACACAGGAAGGGGAACATCACACACAGGGGCCTGTCTTGGGGTGGGGGGAGGGGGGAAGGATAGCATTAGGAGATATACCTAATGTAAATGACGAGTTAATGGGTGCAGTACACCAACATGGCACATGTATACATGTGTAACAAACCTGCACGTTGTGCACATGTACCCTAGAACTTAAAGTATAATAATAAAATAAAATAAAATAAAACAAATGAGTGTATTCTCAGATTTTTGCTCCAACAGTGTAGTAAAATATTTCTGCTGGACTCCTGTACTCACAAAGGTACTCTTCATCTGTAGGTAATTGTCAAAAAGAATAGCTGTGCAGGGGGATGATGGTAGAAATCTCCTATTCTGCCATCTTGCTGATATCTCCGCCTGACCACATTTATATAAATTCCTATGATATATAAACTAATTTGTAGTAATAGTAAACAGATTATTTAGCGGCCTGGGGCATAAAGGAGCAATTACGGGATGAATCACAAAGTGACAAAAGAAAACTTTTGAGTGATCAATATGTTCAGTATCTTGACTGAGATATTTTAACATCTATATGTGTTTATATATGCATATACAACATATATACACACACATGCATATATAAACATATATATTTATATGTGTATGTGTGTGTATATATATCTATGTTGGCACTCTCTATTGCATTTTTTATTTCACTCATTGTATTTTGTACCTGCAAAATTTCTCTTTTTTATGATTTTTATGATTTCTGTCATTACTAAAATTCTTGTTACATTGTACTTTGCACCTGCAAAATTTCTCCTTTTTATGATTTTTTAATGATTTCTGCCTTGTTATTAAAATTCTAATTCCGTGTGTATATATGCACATACATACATTTATATATGCGTGCGTGTACATTCTCTTCAAAATTCATCAAATTATACAACTTACATATATGCAGTTTATAGCATGACAATTAAACCTAAAAAATCATTAAAGATTCACATTACTATTTTAGACCTCTTCAGAATGGCCTTTAATGTCCATATTTCTACAAACATTTTGATTATGACCACTTAAGTCATCTCTAAAACATTTCAGAGTTGTTCTACAGTTATTCTCTTCTTCTGAGCTCTCATTATAATTTCTCATATTGTTCCAATCATGGCTTCTTATATCTTGCATTTCAAAAAACTTACTGATCTTTTCCAGTTGCCCAGTTCCAAAACTGCTTTTACATTTTCAAATAATTGTATAGCACATTCCACTCTTCAGTACCAATTTCTGTCTTAATCCATTTGTGCTCGTATTACAAAATACCTAAAAAAATCACAATTTATAATGAATAGAAATTTATTTTTCCCACATAACTGGAGGCTAGGAAGTCCAATATCAAGGTGTTGGCATCTTTTTCGGGCCTTCTTGCTGCATTATCACACAGTGGACATTGGAAGGACAAAAAGGCAAAAGGGGGCTGAACTCCTCCTCATGTTATTGTTAATCGCATCCATTAAGGTAGAGCCCTTATGGCCCTATCACCTCCCAAAATATAACCTCTTAACACCACCACAATTACAATTAAATTTCAACAAGAGTTTTGGAAAGGGCAAACATTTAAACCATAGGGGTCTACAAGTCCTCTCATGGCTTCATATGCTTTCCTATCTTCCCTTGATATCAAGATCTTCTCTTTCAAATATGCATTATTCACTCACTAGTACTTCAGATAACCTCACTTCAGTGACTTTCTAGCATGTTTATTGCATTGCCAGTTTCCAGTACTTGGCAATTTCAACCAAGTTGCATCTTATGACCTTGTTCGTGAACTGCAAAGCAATACAAAGAAAATTACGTAGTCATGAATATGGCCTCTACCACAAAATTTAAAGTACCCACTCTCAGCTGAGGGCTGAGTGTACTTTACAGGTACTTTGCTAAATATTTAACTCTCCACTTCATTCCCCACAATAGTTGTACTGCTCACCTTCTTTTCTCAATACTCTAATTCTACATCATTTCTTCTTCTCAGATGATATCACTGAGAAGATTAAGATGATCAGATGTGTATCACAACTTTTCATCTCTGACACACTGGTAGAATGTTTGCAAAGTTCTTTTGAATAATTATGTATTACACTTTTTCTTCTGTGTCTAAAGCAAAAATTGCTTTCTCTCTTGACGAAGTCAATTATTCTACCAGTAATTTATACATCTGGGCCGTTGCTAAATACAAATTCTGATTTAAAAGGTATGGTGTAGGCTCATGACCCTGTATTTCTAAGAAATCACTTGGTGAAGTGAAAGTGCTATTTGTCCACAGAGCAGTTTAAATAGGAAGGCTTTATAATATCTTGCTTTGTCAGTTAACCTCATTTTTTGAATACATCTTCAGTTTATTCCACTTCTTGAAGCTTCCTTGTGAACATTCTAAAATTGTCTCATTTCTCTTTTTCACTTGAAAAACTTTGTGACAGTGTAGTCTACAACATTTAATCCACTTATCTACCAGTCCAACCTTGAATTCCATGTTATCTGAGTGCTTTTCCCACCACGTATTTATATTTACTTTCAAAAATGACACCAACTGACTATGAAGAGCCAAATATAATCACTATTTCTAAATTCTTAGCCTAATTTCTTTCACAGATACATAGGCTGGAAAGCTAGCTACTGAGAAGTTACACAGGATGACACTGCTCTGGTAAAGTCAACATGATTCACATGAACCCAGACTTCAGTTTTGCCAATCCAGAATCTGGATTTACTAAGCAGCAGACCAGAAAAAGAAAAGAAAATAAAAGTGTGTCAATAACTGATATGTATAATAAGTTCCAGTATTTCCTTTTTAAATGCATGGTTATCCACTTCAGACTTAGAAATTTTTGAGAGGGTACCCTTATTTCCCATATTAAGGTAATTAGAAAGCCAAATTAGTAATCAGAAGGCTGCTTTATGAAAACAGAATTAAAGTAAAGAAGATGATGTCTGTCAATATTTTATTTGGATCACGATAATGTCAGGTGTAATGTCCCGGCTATGGCCCATAATACTTTGATGAATACAACACTAAGTATACCATATGTCATACTTGGGTAATACAGAAGACAACATGCAAATTTTTGATTCTCTAATCACTCTTTTCAATGCCATTTACTTCTTTTTTATTGATAAATTCTCACTCTAGATATTATTGGCCAAGTGGCAAGAGTTGAAGAAGGCAGTGAATCATATAAGCTATCCAAGGGATAGTGTAATCTCCAGCAAGAAATGTCAAGGAATCAACAGTCCTTTCCTAAGCCATGTTATTTTTCTCTCCACACATACACATACACCAAAGGTAATTCTATAATATTTTTATGCTTTTGATTACTGCTTACATACTAAATATCCCAAATTTATATTTCAATCTCAAATATTTTTCCTCATATTTATGCCCATTTTTCCAACTGCTTTCTTCACATCTTTACTAACCTCTCGTATACATTAAAATCTTAATAGGTCAAAAATGAAATTTATCACCTCCTTCATCTCTCTTATTCCAAAAAATAAACAAAAACTTAAATGATGATTGATACAAGGTGTGGGAAAGGGAAGACTCAATAATCTTAATAATGATCCTTGGGTTTCTTTATATGTTTTTGAGACAGAGTCTCACTCTGTTGCCCAGGCTGGAGTGCAGTGGCATGATCTCGGTCCACTGCAACCTCCACCTCCCAGGTTCAAGTGATTCTCTGGCCTCAGCCTCCCAAGTAGCTGATATTACAGGTGTGCACCACCACGCCCATCTAATTTTTGTTATTTTCAGTATATATGGGGTTTCACCATGTTGGCCAGGCTGGCCTCGAACTCCTGACCTCAGGTGATCCACCCGCCTCAGCCTCCCAAATTTCTGGAATTACAGGAGTGAGATGCCACACCTGGCCAGGTTTTTTTTTTTTTTTTATTGTGAAACATTGTACATGTTTATAGGGTAAAATTTGATGTTTAAATGCATATATATATTGTATAAGGATCAAATCAAGACAGTTAGCATATCCATCATTTCATGCATTTATCATTTGTGTTGAGAACATTTAAAAAAAACTTTTCTTCTAGCCATTTATTTATTTATGTTTATTTTAAGTTCTGGGGTACATGTGCAGAATGTGCAGTTTTTTCACATAGGTAAACATGTGCCATGGTGGTTCACTACACGTATAAACCCATCACTGAGGTATTAAGTCCAGCATGCATTAGCTGCTTTTGCTGATGCTCTCCCTTCCCTTACCCCTCTGAAAGGACCCAGTACGTGTTGTTCCCCTCCCTGTGTCCATGTATTCTCTTTCTTCAGCTTCCCCTTATAAGTGAGAACATGCAGTGGCTTGGTTTTCTGTTCCTGCGTTAGCCATTTTTAATATACAATGCCTTACTATTAACCACAGTCACTTTGCTGTGAAACATAACTTATTCCTCTTATATAATTGTAATTATAATTAAAATTCCTCTTATAATCCCTCTTGTATCATTCCTCTTATATAATTTCCTGTGCATATAACTTATTCTTCTCCTATAATTGTAACTTTGTACCCTTCGTTCAACCTTTCCCAATGCTTCCCTTCTTTATCTTTTTCTCAGTCTCTGGTAACCACTATTCTACTATTTCCATGATGTCAACTTTTTCTCTAGATTTAACATATTGGTGAGATTATGTGGTATTTTTCTTTCTGTGTATGTTTTATTTCAGGTAATATTATGTTCTCCAGTTGCATCCAGGTTGCCACAAATAACAGAATTTTATTCCTGTTTATGGTGGAGTAATATTTCATTGTATATACATACCACATTATCTTTACCCATTCATCCATTTTTTGACACTTAGCTGGATTCCATATTTTGGCAGTTGTTAATAGTGCTGCAATAAACATTGGGTTGCAGATATCTCTTCTACATACTAATTTAATATTTTTTGGATATAAACTCAATAATAACATTGTATCTTATGTATAATTAGATGTTATGGTAATTCTACTTTCAATTATTAGGAAACCTCCATACAATTCTTCATAATAGCTGTACTAATTTACAGTCCCACGAACAGTGTGTAGGTGTTCTCTTCTGTCCACATTCTTCCCAGCACATTTTTTTTTTTTTTTTGTCTTTTAGATAATAGCCATTATAAATGGAGTGGGGTAGTAGCTTGATTTGCATTTCCCTGATAATTAGTGGTATTGAACATTTACTTATATAACTGTTAGCCATTTGTATGTCTTTTTTTCAGAAACTGTAATTTATTTTATTGGTATTACAAAAGTTACCAATGTCTTGGAATTTTATTCTGTTTCTTTTTTAAAAAATTAAAAATGTTCTATTGATACATAATAATTGTAGATATTTATGGGATACATGTGATTTTTTTTCCTTGGATAGGCAATAGATTATCATTTTATTATCTGATACAAATAAATAATAGGAAGTAGGGTGTGGGGAATGGAGTGAATTGACTTCATTGCTTTCTTGAAATCTGATTTTAGGACTTTTATAATAACCAAAAATAATGCTGTTAATACGTGGTACACTCAGACTGGTAAGCTCTTCTGTCAGATGTATGAGCAAGTCTGTGTGTTCAGATCTAATTAGATACTATTTGATACTTTTAACACTATGCAGAGGTTCTAAAAATAAAAATAACATAGAAATCCTACGTTAATCATCAGATCATTTTTTAAATATTTAATTTAATTTAATTTTAAGTTCCAGGATACATGTGCAAGACCTGCAGGTTGTTACATAGTAAACATGTGCCATGGTGGTTTGCTGCACTTTTCAACCCATCACCTAGGTATTAAGGCCAGCATGCATTAGCTATTATTTTTTCTGATGCTCTACTTCTCCCGACCCCCAGAGAAGCCCCAGTGTGTGTTGTTCCCCTCACTGTGTGCATGTGTTCTCGTTGTTCAGCTCCCACATATAAGTGAGAACATGCAGTGTTTGGTTTTCCCGTGTTAGTTTGCTGAAGTTAATGGCTTCCAGCTCCATCCATGTCCCTGCAAATGACGTGATCTTATTTCTTTTTATGGCTGCATAGTATTTGATGGCGTATATGTACCACATTTTCTTTATCCAGTCTATAATTGATGGACATTTGGGTTGATTCCACATCTCTACTACTGTGAATAGTGCTGCACTGAACATATGTGTGCATGTATCCCTATAATAGAATGGTTTATATTTTTTGGGTACATACCCACATATAAGATTGCTGGGTCAAATGGTATTTCTGGTTCTAGGTCTTTGAGGAATCATCACACTGTCTTCTACAATGGTTGAACTAATTTAATTACCCGACTTCAAACTATACTACAAGGCTAAAGTAACCAAAACATCAGAGTACTGGTACGAAAACAGACACATAGACCAATGGAAAAGAACAGAGATCTCAGAAATAAGACCATACATCTACAACCATCTGATCTTTGACAAACCTGACAAAAACAAGTAATGGGGAAATTATTCCCTATTTAATAAATGGTGCTGGGAGAACCGGCTAGCCATAGTTAGAAAATGGAAACTTGACCCCTTCCTTACGCCTTATACAAAAATTAACTAAAGATGGATTAAAGACTTAAATGTAAAACCCAAAACTATAAAAACCATAGAAGAAAATCTAGGCAATACCATTCACAACATAGGCATGGGCAAAGATTTTATCATGAAAACATCAAAAGCAATTGCAACAAAAGCAAAAATTGAAAAGTGGGACCTAATTAAACTAACCAGCTTCTGCACAGTGAAAGATACTATAATCAGAGTGAACAGAAAACCTACAAAATGAGGTAAACATTTTTGCAATCTATTTATCTGACAAAGGTCTAATATCCAGAATCTACAAGGAACTTAAACAACTTTACAAGAAAAAGAAAACCCATTAAAAAACAGGCAAAAGACATGAACAGACATTTCTCAAAAGATGACATTTATGTGGCCAGCAAACATATGAAAAAATGCTCAATATCACTGATTATTAGAGAAATGCAAATCAAAACCATAATTAAATACCATCTTACACCAGTTAGATGGCACTTAGTAAAAAGTCAAGAAACAGCAGTTGCTGGCAAGGCTGTGGCTAAATAGGAACACTTTTACACCGTTGATAGGAATGTACATATTTTGATACATTCAGAAATGTGTAATGATCACATCAGGGTATTTAAGATATTAGTCATCTCAATCATTTATTATTTCTTTGTGGAGTGAATATTTTAATTCTCTTGCAGTAATTTTGAAATATACAATAAATAATTATCATAATCAAACTACTGTCATATCAAACACAAAATGTATTTCTTCTATCTAACTGCATGTTTATACTTGTTAACCAATCTCTTTATTCTCACTCCCCTCCAAACCTTCTCATTCCGTTAATAATCATTATTATCTCTACTACCATAAAACCAAATTTCTAAGTTCCCACATATCAATGCAAACATGCAATATTTTTCTGTGTCTGATTTGCTTCACTTAACATAATGACCTCCAATTTACATCCATGTTGCTGTAGGGTTTCATACTTTTTAATGTCATAAATAGCATTCCATTGCATATACATATCATATTTTCATTATAGTTCATCCATCAACAGACAGCGTGATTCCAGATCTTGACTATTGAAAATAGTGTTGCACTAAAATAGGGATAAAGGTGTCATTTTGATATGCTGATTTCCTTTTCTTTGGATAAAAACCAGTAATGGGATTGCCAGTTCACATGGTAGTGGTAGTTCTATTTTTAGTTATTTTGTGAAACCTGCATACTGTTTTTCATAATGGCTTTACTAATTTAAATTCCTATCAACAGTGTATAAGAGTTCCCCTTTCTCCACATCTTGCCAACATTTGTTATTTTTAGTCTTTTTGATAACAGCCATTTTAATGAGAGATGATTCATCTTGGTTTTGATTTGCATTTCCCTGATAATAAATTATGTTGAGTATTTTTCAATATACCTGTTGGCCATTTGTATGTTTTCTTTTGAGAAATGTCTATTCAAATATTTTGCACACTTTTAATGGGAATTATTTTATTTATTACATAATTATTTATTTATTTATTTATTTATTTATTTGCTGTTGAGTTGTGTGAGTTCCTTGTATATTCTAGATATTGGTCCATTGTTAGAAGAGTAAGTTGTAAATATTTTCCCCCATTATGTAGTTTGTCTTTTACTCTGTTAATTGTTTTACTCTGTTCTAATTTCTTCTAAAACTAGAAGATTTTTAGTTTAATGTAATCACATTTGTCTATTTTTTGTTTGCCTGTGCTTTGGAAGACTCAGTCACAAAATCTTTGTCTAGACCAATGTCCTGAGGGTTTCCCCTATTTTCTTTCAGTAGTTTTAGAGGTTCAAGCCTTAGATTTAAGTTTTAATTCATTTTGTGTTGATTTCTGTATAGGATGAAAAAAAGGGTCTAGTTTACCTTTTCTGCATGTAAATGGGTAGTTTTCTCAGAACCACTAATTGAAAAGGATGTCCTATTTCCGATGTATATTTTTGGCAGTTTTGTCAAAAATCAGTTGGGCTGTAAATATGTGGATTTATTTCTGCGTATTTTATTCTGTTATATTGGTCTATGTGTCTGTATTTATATCAATGCCATGCTGTTTTGATTACTATACTTTGTATATAGCTATAGCATACATACTACAATAGCTTTGTAATATATTTTGAAGTCAGGTAATCTGATGTTCAGGTTTATTTTTGTTTTTTCCCTAGATTTCATTTGCTATTTGGGGTTTTTGGTGGTTTCACATAAATCTTAGGATTCTTTTCCTATTACTGTAAGTAATTTCTTTCATATTTTTGAAAGTGATGGCATTCAGTCTGTAGATTGCTTGTGTAGTATGATTATTTTTATAATATTGATTCTGACCCATGAACATGGAATATCTTTCAATTTGTTTGTATCTTCTTCACTGTCTTTTATCAGTGTTTTGTAGTTTTCATTGTACAGGTCTTTCATCTCCTTTATTAAATGTATTAATAGGTATTATTATTTTTGTAGATATTGTAAATGGAATTTTCTTGATTTTTCAGCTAGTTCTTTTTCAGTTAGTTAATAATGTATAAAAACGACAGATTTTTGTTACTGGTGTGTAGAAATGGTACCAATTTTATACATTGATTTAGTATGCTTGTTGTATAAGAATGCTACTGATTTTGTATATTAATGTTGTATACTGCAACATTGCTGATTTTTTTATCAGTTATACAAGTTTTTTTTTTTTTTTTTTTTTTTTTTTTTTTTTTTTTTTTTTGAAACGGAGTCTGGCTCTGTCACCCAGGCTGGAGTGCAGTGGCGCGATCTCGACTCACTGAAAGCTCCGCCTCCTGGGTTCACGCCATTCTCCTGCCTCAACCTCCCGAGTAGCTGGGACTACAGGCGCCCGCCACCACTCCCCAGCTAATTTTTTGTATTTTTAGTAGAGACAGGGATTCACCGTGTTAGCCAGGATGGTCTCGATCTCCTGACCTCGTGATCCGCCTGCCTTGGCCTCCCAAAGTGCTGGAATTACAGGCGTGAGCCACCGCACCCGGCCTCATACAAGGTATTTTTGGTGGTCTTTAGGTTTTTCTTAATATGTAATATCATTTTGTTTGCAAAAAGAGACAGTTTGTTTTTACTTCCATTATAAATGCCTTTGATTTCTTTCTCTTCCCTCATTACTTTGCTTGAGACTTCCAGTACTATGTTGAATAAAAGTGGTGAAAGTAGGCATTCCTTTCTTGCTTCAGCTCTTAGAGTAAAGGCTTTCAGTTTGTCTCTATTCAGTATGTTACCTGTGAGTTTATTATTTGAGAACTTTATTATGTTGAGTTTTGTTTTTTTCTATGCCTAATTTGTTAGAAGTTTCTTTTTAATCATGAAGTGATGTTGAATTGTATCAAATGCTTTCTCTGCATCTACTGAGATAATCATATGTTTGTCTCCTTTATTCTGTTCATATAAAGTATCACATTTACCTGTCTATGTTGAACTCTTCTTGAATCACTAAGATAAATCCCAGTTGATAATGGTGTATTATCTTTTTGATGTGTTGTTTTATTTGACTGATAGTTTTGAGATTTTTTTCATCTACATTCATTGGGTGTATGAAACTGTAGTTTTTGTTGTTGTTGTTGTGTGTATGATTTTGGTTTCAGAATAGTGCTGGTCACATAGAAATGAGTTAAGAAGAATTCTCTTCTTTTTAATGTTTTGAAACGATTTGAGAAGAACTGGTATTATATCTTGTTTATAAATGTTATGGATTTCATCAGTAAAGCCATCTAATTCTGGGATTTTCTTTGTTGGGAAAATTTTTATAGCTAATTCAATTTTTTATTCACTATTGATCTGTTTAGGTTTTCTATTTCTCCTTAGTAGAATCTTGCTAGGTTTTATGTGGTCAGGAATTCGTCCATTTTTCTAGGTGTTCTACTTTGTTAACATATATTTCTTTTTTGTATAATTTCAATTTTTATTACAGGTTAAAGGGTACCTGTGGCAGGTTTGGTAAATGGGTATATTACATGATGCTGAGGTCTTGGGTCTCAATTATTCCATAACTCAGGCAGTAAGCTTAGTATCCAGTAGATCATTCTTCAACCCATGACCCCCTTTCTCCCTTCTTCATATAGTTTTTTTCAGTGTCTCTTGTTCTTAACTTTACATTCATGTGCATTCAGTGTTTAGCTCCCACTTATAAGTTAGAACATGCAGTATTTGCTTTTCTGGTCTTGTTTAGTTTGCTTAGATTATTGATCTCCAGCTCTATCCATGTTACAGCAAAGGATATGTTTTTGTTCTATTTTATGGTTTCATAGTATTCTGTGATGTATATGCAGGTTATTGTATTTATCTAATCCACTATTCATGGGCACTTAAGTTGGTTCAATGTATTTGCTATTGTGAATAGCATTGCGGTGAACACATGGTGCATGTGTCTTCTTGATAGAATGAATTATTTTACTTTGGGTATATACCCAGTTGTGGGATTGCTGGGTCAAATGGTAGTTCTAATTTAAGTTCTTTGAGAAATCTCCAAATAACTTTCCTCAGTGCCTGAACTAGTTTGAAATAACAGTTTCTGATCATTCCTTAGGTTTCTGTGGTATTAGTTGCATGTTTTCTTCTCCATTTCTGATTTTATTTATTTGGTTCTTTCCTATTTTTTTCTTGGTTAGTCCATATTGAAGTTTATTAAATTTATTTATCTTCTCTAATAACCAATTTTAATTTTATTATTCTGCTGTATTGTGTTTTTAGTTTTTGTTTAGTTTTGGTCTGATCTTTATTATTTTTTTCCACTAATTTGGGGTTTCATTTGTTGTTACATTTCTATTTCCTTGAGATACATTATTAGGTTATTTAAAATCTTTTTACTATTCCATGTAGAAACAATTTTTGACATAAACTTTACTCTTAGCATTGATTATTCTCTAACTCATAGTTTTGGTATTTTGTGTCTTCATTTTTATTTGTTTCAAAATTTTTAAATTTCCTTCTTAACTTTTTAATTGACTCAATAATTGTTTAGGAGGATGTTTAATTTCCATGCATTTGTATGCTTTCCTAATTTCATCCTGTTATTTATTTTTAGTTTTATTCTACTGTGGTCTAAAAATATAGTTGATATAATTTTCATTTAAAAAATTGTTGAAAATTGTTTTGTGGCATAAGATATGGTTTATTCTGGAGAATGATTCACATGCTGATAAGACAAATGTGTATTCTGTGGCTGTTGGGTGAAATATTCTGTTAATGTCTGTTAAGACAACTTGGTCCATAGTACAGATTAAGTCTAGTGTTCCTTCGTTGAATATTTGTCTACATATTCTGTTCAATACTGAGAGTGGGGTGTTGAAGTTCCCAACTATTGTTGTGTTGGAATCTTTCTCTCATTTTATTCTATTTTAAAACTTTGTTTAAGTAAAAAGAAACTTCATTCAAAAGGTTTATTTTAAAAAGGGGAGATGAGCTATTGTATTACAGTGATGCATAACTAAAGGTAGGTGTACATTCTGAGAAATGCATCATTAGGTGATCTTTTCAGGCAAATATCATAGAGTGTACTTACATAACCCTAGATGTTATAGACTACTACATACCTAGTCTATATGATATAGCCTATGGCTCCTAGGCTGCTAACCTGTACAGAGTGTTATGGTACTGAATACTGTGGGAAATTTTAACACAATGTTATGTTTGTGTCTAAACATATAAAAACACAAAAATTGATAAAGTAGTTAGGAAAAAATGGAGGATAAGAGGCAGGACTAACTTGCAGCTCCCACCTGGATGAACAGAGCAGCACGGGGTGACTCATGAACTCGTGAACTTTTGCTCCAAGAACCACTGCAGGAACATAACAGAAAAGCCAAGGGAATCCACAGACACTTTGAAGGAAGTTGATTGCTGCTGAAGGCTCTGGGAGACAGCCAAAAATCTGTGAGTGCCCAAAGTGTGAAAACGTGAAAGAAGGATTGTTCATCCCCAAATAAACACCCTCACTGGGGAACCTGAAGGTCCAGATTACAGGAAAAGGATTTGTCCTTACCTGGATCTGAGACAAATTTAGAGAGCTAAGCAAAATATGGGGGTAGAAGAAGCAGTGGGAAGAGCCCTGTGGGCAGTCTCGGTCCCAAGGAAAGTTATTTCTGATTTTGTCTCACAGTCTCACAGGGGTCCTTGGGGAGGGCTGCCAGAGAAACTGGAAAAACAACACAATGGAAAAAAATAAAACAAGGTATTCAGGCAACAAATAGCGTAGTGAATAGAATAGTACCTCACATCTCAGTGCTAACGTTGAATGTAAATTGCCTAAATGCTCCACTAAGAAGATACAGGATGGCAGAATGAATAAGAATTCACCAACCAAGTATCTGTTGTCTTCAAGAGACTAACCTAACACATAAGGACTCACATAAACTTAAGGTAAAGGGGTGGAAAAAGATATTCTATACAAATGGACACCAAAAGCAAGCAGGAGTACCTATTCTTATATCAGACAAAACTAAAGGCCATAGTTACCAAAACAGCCTGGTACTGGTATAAAAATAAGCACATAGACCAATGGAACAGGATAGAGAACCCAGAAATAAAGCAAATTACTTACAGCCAACATATCTTAGACAAAACTAACAAAAACATAAAGTGGAGAAAGGATGTCCTATTCAACAAATGGTACTGAGATAATTGGGAAGCCACATCTACCAGCATGAAACTGGATCCTTGTCTCTCACCTTATACAAAAATCAACTCAAGATAGATGAAAGACTTAAATCTAGGACCTGAAACCATAAAAATTCTAGACAATAACATTGGAAAAATTCTTCTAAATATTGGCTTAGGCAGAGACTTCGTGACCAAGAATGCGAAAGCAAATCCAACAAAAACAAACATAAATAGATGGGACTTAATTTTAAAAACTTCTGCACTGCAAAATAAACAATCAACATAGTAAACAGAAAACCCACAAGTGAGAGAAAATGGCAATGTATACATCCATCAAAGGACTAATATCCATAATCTACAAGGAACCCAAACAAATCAGCAAGAAAAAAATAAAACAATCCCATCAAAAAGTGAGCTAACACTGTGCACTGCTTGGGTGATGGGTGCACCAAAATTTCAGAAATCACCACTAAAGAACTTATTCAGGTAACCGAACACAATCTGTTCCCCAAAAACTTATTGAAATAAGCTGATAAGCAACTTCAGCAAAGTCTCAGGATACAAAATCAATGTACAAAAATCACAATCATTCTTATACACCAATAACAGACAAACAGAGAGCCAAATCATGAGTGAACTCCCATTCATAATTGCTTCAAAGAGAATAAAATACCTAGGAATCCAACTTACAAGGGACGTGAAGGACCTCTTCAAGGAGAACTACAAACCACTGCTCAATGAAATAAAAGAGGATACAAACAAATGGAAGAACATTCCATGCTCATGGGTAGGAGGAATCAATATCGTGAAAATGGCCATACTGCCCAAGGTAATTTACAGATTCAATGCCATCCCCATCAAGCTACCAATGACTTTCTTCACAGAATTGGAAAAAACTACTTTAAAGTTCATATGGAACCAAAAAAGAGCCCGCATCACCAAGTCAATCCTAAGCCAAAAGAACAAAGCTGGAGGCATCACACAACCTGACTTCAAACTATACTACAAGGCTACAGTAATCAAAACAGCATGGGACTGGTACCAAAACAGAGATATAGATCAATGGAACAGAACAGAGTCCTCAGAAATAACGCCGCATATCTACACCTGATCTTTGACAAACCTGACAAAAACAAGCAATGGGGAAAGGATTCCCTATTTAATAAATGGTGCTGGGAAAACTGGCTAGCCATATGTTGAAAGCTGAAACTGGATCCCTTCCTTACACCTTATACAAAAATTAATTCAAGGTGGATTAAAGACTTAAACATTAGACCTAAAACCATAAAAACCCTAGAAGAAAACCTAGGCATTACCATTCAGGACATAGGCATGGGCAAGGACTTCATGTCTAAATCACCAAAAGCAATGGCAACAAAAGACAAAATTGACAAATGGGATCTAATTAAACTAAAGAGCTTCTGCACAGCCAAAGAAACTACCATCAGAGTGAACAGGCAACCTACAAAATGGGAGAAAATTTTCGCAAACTACTAATCTGACAAAGGGCTAATATCCAGAATCTACAATGAACTCCAACACATTTACAAGAAAAAAACAAACAACCCCATCAAAAAGGGGATGAAGGACATGAACAGACACTTCTCAAAAGAAGACATTTATGCAGCCAAAAGACACATGAAAAAATGCGCACCATCACTGGCTATCAGAGAAATGCAAATCAAAACCACAATGAGATACCATCTCACACCAGTTAGAATGGCAATCATTAAAAAGTCAGGAAACAACAGGTGCTGGAGAGGATGTGGAGAAATAGGAACACTTTTATACTGTTGGTGGGACTGTAAACTACTTCAACCATTGTGGAAGTCAGTGTGGCGATTCCTCAGGGATCTAGAACTAGAAATACCATTTGACCCAGCCATCCCATTACTGGGTATATACCCAAAGGACTATAAATCATGCTGCTATAAAGACACATGCACACATATGTTTATTGTGGCACTATTCACAATAGCAAAGACTTGGAACCAAACCAAATGTCCAACAATGATAGACTGGATTAAGAAAATGTGGCACATATACACCATGGAATACTATGCAGCCATAAAAACTGATGAGTTCATGTCCTTTGTAGGGACATGGATGAAATTGGAAATCATCATTCTCAGTAAAGTATCGCAAGAACAAAAAACCAAACACCGCATATTCTCACTCATAGGTGGGAATAGAACAATGAGAACACATGGACACAGGAAGGGGAACATCATACTCTGGGGACTGTTGTGGGTTGGGGGGAGGGGGGAGGGATAGCTTCAAGAGATATACCTAATGCTAAATGACGAGTTAATGGGTGCAACACACCAGCATGGCACATGTATACATATGTAACTAACCTGCACATTGTGCACATGTACCCTAAAACTTAAAGTATGATAATATTAAAATAAAATAAAATAAATGTATTTTTGGTAAAAATAACAGCTAAAGCAATAACTTTGTATGAAAAAAATTTTGTATGGTAAATTTGTGTCCTAAACTAAAAGAACTGTTTTTGCTTTTTTTTAAAGAACATATAAGACAAAGCAAAATGTCTAAACATGTAACCAATGGTGATACAAGTTGTAATAAAGTTCATTAAAAATGTATTTAAAAAAATAAAAGAAAAAAATGATACAGTAAACTTTATTGTTATATTATAGAACCATGTTGTATACATGGTCTGTTTTTCACTAAAAGGTCATGTTGATACTTAACTGATAATCCATTAACATGTGTTTTGTTTTGTTTTTTACTTTCCTTGTTTTAAACTTTTTTTTTTAGGTTCAGGGATACATGTGCAGATTTGTTTTGTTGGTAAATTGCTTGTCATAGGAGTATGGTTTACAGATTATTTCATCACCCAGATAATAAGCATAATATGTGACAGGTAGTTTTTCACCCTCTTCTTATCCTCCACCCTCAAGTAGGGTCCAGTGTCTATTGTTCTCTGCTTGGTTGCCCCATGTACACAAAGGTTAACTCCCACTTAAGTGAGAACATGTGATATTTCTTTTTCTGTTCCTGCATTAGTTCACTTAGAATGTTGCTGCAAATGACATGATCTTGTTTTTTTATGGCTGCATATTATTTCAATGTGTATGTGTACCACATTTCCTTTATCCAGTCTACATTTGATGGGCATTTAGGGAGATTCCATGTCTTTGGTATTGCAAATAGTGCTGCAGTGAACATAGGTTTGCATGTGTCTATATAGTAGAATAATTTACATTCCTTTGGGTATATACACAATAATGGTATTGCTGGATTGAATGGTAGTTCTGTTTTATGTTCTTTGAAAAATCACCAAACTGCTTTCTACCGTGGCTGAACCAACTTACATTTCCAGAAACAGTGTATTAGCAATCTCTTTTCTCTGCAGCTCACCAGAGTCTGTTATTTTTTTACTTTTAAATAATAGTCATTCAGACTTTTGTAAGATGGTATTTATTGTGGTTTAGATGTGCATTTCTCTGAAGATTAGTGATGTTGAGCATTTTTTCACACGCTCATTGGCCATGCATATGAATTTTTCTGAGAAGTGTCTCTTCATCTTTTTCCCACATTTTAATGTGGTTGTTGTTTTTTTTCCTGTTAATTTGTTTAAATGTCCTATACATAGTGAATATTAGATCTATGTCAGAGTCATAGTTTGAAAACATTTTCTTTCTTTCTGTAGGTTGTCTGTTTACTATGTTGATAGCTTCTTTAGTTTAATCAGGTCCCATTTGTCCATTTTTGGTTTTGGTTTACTTGCTTTTGTCATCTTCAACATGAAATATTTGCCAGGGGGTCTGTTCAGAGTGATATCTACTAGGTTTTCGCCTATACGTTTTATAGTTTCAGATTTTATATTCAAGTCTTTAATACATCTTGAGTTGACTTTTGTATATGGTGAAAAGAAGAGTTATAGTTTTGATCTCTGCATATGGTTTCTGTATGGTTTTTGTCTCCCATTTTAAATATAATAGTTTTTGCTTTGCATATCTGAGTGCTGTGATATTGGGATCATAAAAATTTACTATTGCTATATCTGCTTACTGAATCGATTGTTTGTCATTATATAATATTATTGTCTCCTTTTACATCATTATGTAATATTCTAGTCTCTTTTTACAGTATTTGACTTGTAGTCAATTTTTTTTCTGGTATAAGTATAGCTACTCTTGCATGCTTTTTGTTTTCATTTGCAAGGAATACTTTTTCTATTGCTTCACTTTCATTCTATGTGTGTCTTTACAGGCAAATAAAGTAAATTTCCTGTAGGCAGCATAAAGGTGGATCATGTTTGTTTAATCCAGTCAGTCAATATATTTTAATTGGGAAATTCAAACTGTTTACATTCAAGATTATTATTGATAGGTGAGAACTTCTGTCATTTTCTTAATTATTTTCTGATTGATTATTTTGCTTGTCCTTTGTTCCTTAATTCCCTTTTATTGTTTACATTTACAACTTTGTGCTATTTATTGATAATGTTTGACTTCTTTCTCTTTTTAAATTGTGAATGTGCTCTACTAATGAATTTTATAGTTTTGCATAATTTCATTATGCTATATATTATACTTTGATTTTCAGTTATATGACTCCCTTAAGTATTTCTTACAGGGTCAGTCAAGTGGTAATGAATTCCCTGTTTTCCTTATCTGGGAAAGACTTTAATTCTTCTTCATTTTTTAAATAATAAGATTTGCAGGGTATAGTATTTTAGGTTGACAGTTTTTTGTGTTTTCTTTCAGCACTTCTAATCTATCATCTCATTCTCTTTTGGCCTATACAATTTCTGCTGAGAAAAATTTGTTAGTCTGATTGGCGTTTCCTTCTATATAACTTGATATTTTACTTTTGTTGTTTTTAAGTTTTTTCTTTGTCTTTGATTTTTCACAATTAGGTTATAATGTGCCTTGAAGGTGACTTTTTGGGTTGAATCCAATTAATAATCTTTAATTTTTTTGTATCTGGATGTCTCTAACTCTTGCAAGATGATTTTTCTTATCTCTTCTGGAACCATAAAAAATTTAAATTTTTGTTGCTTTTTGATATCCCATATGCCATGTATGCTTTGTTATTTAATTATTTATTTATTTATTTTCTGTCTGGGTTATTTCAAAGAACTTGTCTTCACATTCAGAAATTCTTTCTTTTGCTTTATTTAGTCCATTATTTAAGCTCTTACCTGCATTTTTTACTTCATTAGTGGAATTGCTGAGTTTTAAGATTTCTGTCTGTGTCTTATAATAATATCTGTGTATATATTTTTAAAAATTCATTCAGATCATAAGTTGTTTTCCTGATTTTTTTGTATGGACATCTTTGTATGTCACTGCGTTCCTTCAATATCATTATTTTGAATGCTTTTTTTTTTTTTTTTTTTTTTTTTGAGACGGAGTCTCGCTCTGTCGCCCAGGCTGGAGTGCAGTGGCGGGATCTCGGCTCACTGCAAGCTCCGCCTCCTGGGTTCACGCCATTCTCCTGCCTCAGCCTCCCAAGTAGCTGGGACTACAGGCGCCCGCCACTACGCCCGGCTAATTTTTTGTATTTTTAGTAGAGACGGGGTTTCACCATTTTAGCCGGGATGGTCTCGATCTCCTGACCTCGTGATCCGCCCGCCTCGGCCTCCCAAAGTGCTGGGATTACAGGCGTGAGCCACCGCGCCCGGCCTATTTTGAATGCTTTTAAGGGAATTTATGATTTTTTTCTTTGACATCTGTTACTAGATAATTATTGTGTTTCCTTTAATGTGACATGTTTCTTTGATTTTTCGTGTTTCTTGTGTCTTTACCTTGATATCTGTACATATGGTGCAATAGTTGCTTCTTCAATTTTTGTGAATTTGCTTTTGTAGAGGATAACACTTTTCTATAGATGTATCTGAAGTGTTGTTTGGGTAAGGTGCTTTGGCTTTGATTCTAGGTGGGTATAGTAATGTAGTCTCTGTATGATGTCTTCCTGTGTGATCAACATCTCTGGTGTCTAAGAGTTCTGAGTAGCTTAGGTTACGCTTGCTTATTAGTGGAGGCTGTGTGAAGGTTTAGGTGAGTATGAGGCCACCAGTTTGGCCAGTTCTCAGACAACAGTAGTGATGGCGGTGTTCCAAGTATGTCAACCCTTTGGGCTTGGCTTTTGTGCATGGCATAAGTGTTCATAGTAGTAGTGCCAGGCCAACCTTCAAGCCTCTTAGTGGCACATACAGACACTAGCAGACATGGTGGGCTGACCTCTAGGCCTTACTGAGATACACAGTGAAGGTGGTTTCAGTCAAGGTGAGCTTGTCATTTTGCCCTTGAAAGATGAGCACATGAACTGGTGGTGGTTGAGTGAGTGAGGTCAGTTAATGGAGAAAGCACTTTCCCAGATAGCATGCACAGGAAGCAGCAGTGGGTAGAGTGGGCACATCCTCAATCTCTCAGAGGCTTTAAGGAGTGCCAGTAGTTGTAGGTGGGACGAGTCAATCACTAAGCCCCAGGAAACATGCACAGGTTTGTCAGTGGTGGCAGTGGGTGGGATAAGCCTGTGTTAAGGCCCCTGGATGTTGTGCATGGCTTTAAAGTAGGTTAGGTAGGGTAAGTCAATCCCCAGTATCCTGGACAAGGTGTTCACATTGTTTTTTTTCTAGGAGAAGTAGAAGTATGTGGCCTAAAATATAGATTTTTGGGTGACCATATTTATGTATTAAACACACAAATGTCTCATTCACTTTATTTTACTTTCTTAAATAAGTACCATTATAACATTGTTTATCATTACCTGATTTTAGGCTATTTAAAGCTCTCCACACCTGTATCAATATATCTACCTTTCATCATATATGTGTATATTTTCTGACCCCTAGACAATACATATTTTATTTCTGAAAGAGTAACTCTGTTTTACACATGATAAAGATAGCACAACTTTTCAACTTATTTCACTATTGCAGAATTCAAACACACACACACACACAGAGTAAGTTATTAAATTTCTGTATGCCCAAAACATCATTTTGCAAGATCTTGGACTTCCATTTCAATCTCTAGTGAAACAAGAAATGATAAAAGGATACACTTGATGAACATTGGCCACCAGATGACACAATCTCAACTGGAAATCTGTTTGGCTGTCCTCCTCAGATAGTCATATAACTTATTCCTATAGAATCTTAAGTAGCATCACCTAATGCTGTTTAGTGTCAAGAAAAGGTAAGAATTTTAATGTAGTTAGCGTATAGGTAGTGAGAAATAAGGTAGCACAAATAGAGGGTTGAAAAGTATACAGAAGTTATATTATGAAAAGCTTTATTGAAAAGTTAGGAAGTTGGTATTACAGCCTGTCGGCAGAAGAAGAGTCTGAAGATATTCAAACATATTTTTATATAAAAAAGAGGGCAATGACTGTATCCTTATGCTCAATGTTTTATATTCAATATCTATTATAGTGCCTGGTACATGGTAGAGTCTCATAAATGCTTGCTGAATGAATGAAAATATGAATGAATGAGTTTAAAAGTGAGTGAGGTTAGAGATTTATGGCTGTTAGCCATGGTAAGAGAAGATAATTTTTTTCTTCAGAGAAAGAAAGAAACAGAGGGAGACATTAAGTCGAGATACAAAGATAATTTAGGGCAAGAGGAATTTGAGCGGTGATATTTTTAGTAAGGTAAGACACAAAAGGCACCAATAACTAAAGAATATTCAAATATTTTCTTTGTCATGAAAATTGCATAGAGTCTGTATTAAGAGCAGCACTAAGTCTTATCAAGCTTTATAATTATTTAAGAGTAAATGTTTTCCCAGCACCATTCATTGATGAGACTGTATTACCACAGTTTATGTTGTTGGCAACTTTGTCACAAATGAGTTCACTGTAGGTGTGTGGATTTGTTTCCGGGTTGTCTATGCTGTTTCATTGGTCTATGTGTCTGTTTTTATGCCAGTACCATGCTGTTTTGGTTACTATAGCCCTGTAGTGTAATTTGAAGTTAGGTAATGTTATTCTTACATTTTTTGTTTGTTTGTTTGTTTTTTCCTTAGGATAGCTTTGGGTATTCAGGTTCTTTTGTGGTTCCATATAAATTTTAAGATAGTTATTTTTTTCTTACTTCTGTGAAGAATGTCATTGGTATTTTGAAAAAGATTGGGTTGAATCTGTGGATTGCACTAGTTTGTATGGACATTTAAACAATATTGATTCTTCCAATCCATGAACACAAAATATCTTTCCATTTTTTGGTATCCTCTTTAATTTCTTTCATCAGTGTTTTATAGTTTTCATTATATAGTTCTTTTACTTCTTTGGTTAATTCCTAGGTATTTAATTTTATTTGTGCCTATTTTAAATAAGATTACTTTAAAAAATTTATTTATCAAATTGTTCACTATTTGCATATAGAAATGCTAGTGATCTTTAGAATTTGATTTTGGATTCTGCAACTTTACTGAATTTATCAATTCTAATAGTTTTTTTGTGTGTGGAATCTTTAGGTTTTTCTAAATATAAGATCGTATTATCTGCAAACAAGGATAATTTGGCTTCCTTCTCTTCCATTTGGATGCCTGTTATCTCTTTCTCTTGTCTGATTGTTCTAGCTGGGACTTCCAGTATTATGTTGAATAACAGTGGTGAAAGTGGCCATCCTTGTGTTTTCGATCTTAGGGAAAAGGCTTTCAAATTTTCCCCATTCAGTATATGATAATAGCTGTGAGCCTGTCATATATGGCTTTTATTATGTTGATGTATGTTCCTTCTATCCCCAGTATTTTGAGGGCTTTTATCCTAAAGAGGTGCTGAATTTTATTGAATGCTTTTTCAATATCAATTGAAATAATCATATTTTTTTATCCTTCATTCTGTTGATACGATACATCACATTGATTGATATGCACATGGTGAGCCATCGTTACATCCCAGGGATAAATCCCACTTGATACAATACGTCACATTGATTGATGTGCACATGGTGGGCCATCCTTACATCCCAGGGATAAATCTCACTTGATCAATTTTCTTTTCTTATAGTGTCTGTTTGGTTTTGAAACTGGGGTAATTCTGATCTCATGTAATGAATTGGAAAATTTCCATCATCTTCAACTTCTTAAGAGTTTAAAAATATTTTATGTTAATTATTTTTTAAAGTTTAGTGAAATTTACCAGTGAAGCTGTCTGATTCTAGATGGTTTTATCAGTCTCTGCCTGTTTATATTTCTTATTTCTTTGAAACTAAGTGCTGGTAGGTTGTTGGATTCTAAGAACTTGTCAATATCTTATGAGTTATCCTATTTGTTAATGTATAATTATTCATAATACTATCTTATAATCTTGTTTTTATGTCTCTAAGCTTGGTAGTAACAGTCCCTGATTATGTATAATTTTAGTTATTTGAATATTCTCTTTTTCTCTTAGTCAGTCTAGCTAAAATTTTGTCAATTGTGTTGATTATTTAAAAGAATCAACTTTCGATTTTGCTGACTTTCTCTATTCTTTTTAAAATGTCTCTCTATTCCTGCTCCAATTGTTATTATTGCTATTTATTCTACTAATTTTGAGTTTAGTTTATAATTTTTACTTTTTCGTCTAAGTTGAATTATTATTTGAGAGCATTCTTCTTTTTTAATGTGTTTACAGTTGTGAATTTTCTTTTTGGCACTGCTTTTGTCATATCCCATGTTTCATTGTGTTACATCTTTATTTTCAATAGTCTCAAAGTGTTACCTAATCTTTTAATTTTTTTCTTGATACGTTTGCTGCATAAATATGTTGTTTAACTTTTATATATTTATGAGTTTTCCAATTATTCTTCTGTAGTTGGCTTCTGTTTTCATTCCATATTGATCAAATAAGACACTTTGTATAATTTTAATCTTTAAATACTCGGTATTTTAATGAATAGTTTAAAGTATAGTGTGTTACTACTATGCCTAGTAGAGCTATTAAATAGAGCCAAGTTGGTATGCAGAGTAGGAATCAGTGAATAAATTCTGAAAATGAATTAGGAGGCAGAGCAGAGGGCAGAATAGAAAGCTCTGACATTCATACCCTCTGCAAGGACACCAAGTTAAAAAACTATTTACACAGGTTCAAACAAAAGAAAACAAAACCTTTATAAGAGCAAAAAGTCAGGTGATCACTTATAGTACCTAGTGTTAACTTCATATCACTGAAAGAGGCACTGAAGACATAAAAAATACCGTCTAGAATTGCCAGTGCCACCCCTGCCTCACCCCATAGCCATGTTGTGATGCAGAGAGATTCTCTGGACGCTGGGGGAAGAAGAACACAAAAATTATGAGACATTGAATTCAGTGATGTAGTGTTATAGCAGAAAGAAAAACCGGATCAAACTCATATGACACCCTCTCACAAAGGGAGAATTTAAACCAGCCCTAACCAGAGGGGAATCCCCGATCTCAGCGTCAGAAATTGAGTGCCTACAAACCTTGCCATGAAGAGATACAGCATTCTGTGTCTCTAAGTAAACTTGAAAGGCAGTCTAGGCCATAAGAACTGTAACTCTTAGGCGAGTCCTAGAGTTGAACTAGGCCCAGAGATAGTGGACTGGGTGGGCATGTGACATACCAGAGACATCAGCTGGGTCAGCCAGGGGAATGCTGGCATCAGCCCTCCCCTAATCCCAGATGGCACAGCTCACTGCTCCCAAAGAGACTCCTTTTGATATGGTTTGGATCTGTGTCCCCATCGAAATTTCACATTGATTTGTAATTTTCAGTGTTGGAGGTGGGGCCTGGTGGGAGGGGATGGGAGCATGGGGGCATTTTCTCACGGTTTAGCACCATCCCCATAATGCTGTTCTCATGATGGAGTTTTCACAATATCTAGTTGTTTAAAAGTGTGTGACACCTTCCTCCTCTCTCTTACTTGGTCCTGCTCCTGCCATGTAAGACACCTGCTTTCACTTTGCTTTACACCATGAGTAATAGCTCCCTAATGACTCCCCGGAAGCAGATCCTGCCATGCCATCTGTATAGCCTATGGAAACATAAGCCAATTAAAACTTTTTTTCCTCTTATTTATTTATTTATTTTATTATACTTTAAGTTTTAGGGTACATGTGCACAACATGTAGGTTAGTTACATACGTATACATGTGCCATGTTGGTGTGCTGCACCCATTAACTCATTATTTAACATTAGGTATATCTCCTAATGCTATCCCTCCCTCTTCCCCCGACCCCACAACAGGCCCCGGTGTGTGATGTTCCCCTTCCTATGTCCATGTGTTCTCATTGTTCAATTCCCCTCTATGAGTGAGAACACGTGGTGTTTGGTTTTTTGTCCTTGTGATAGTTTGCTGAGAATGATGGTTTCCAGCTTCACCCATGTCCCTACAAAGGACATGAACTCATCCTTTTTTATGGCTGCATAGTATTCCATGGTGTATATGTGCCACATTTTCTTAATCCAGTCTATCATTGTTGGACATTTGGGTTGGTTCCAAGTCTTTGCTATTGTGAATAGTGCTGCAATAAACATACGTGTGCATGTGTCTTTATAGCAGCATGATTTATAATCCTTTGGGTATATACCCAGTAATGGGATGGCTGGGTCAAATGGTATTTCTAGTTCTAGATCCCTGAGGAATCATCACACTGACTTCCACAATGGTTGAACTGGTTTACAGTCCCACCAACAATGTAAAAGTGTTCCTATTTCTCCACATCCTCTCCAGCACCTGTTGTTTCCTGACTTTTTAATGATTGCAATTCTAACTGGTGTGAGATGGTAAAAAATAAATAACCAAGTGTCTGGTATTTCTTTATAGTAATACAAGAACCAACTAATGTACCTTCCTTCTGTTTGAGGAGAAGAGAAGTAATAATGGGGAGGGCTTTGTCTTACATGCTGAATACCAGCTTGGCTACAGCAGAATAAGGCACCAGTCAGAGTTCTGAGGCCCTTGTTTCAGGGCTACCTCCAAGACCATATTTCTAGACACACCCTAGGTTAGAAAGGCATCTACTGCCTTGAAAGAAATGACCCAGATTTTCTGGCATCCATCACCTGCTGATTGAAGAGTCCTTGGGCCCTGAATAATCATCAGTGATACTCGGGTACTACATGAAAGGCCTCTCTGAGCCTCTGAGACTTGCTGATTTTAGGTATCAACACTGCCACAGTAGGGTAGAGCACCAAGTGGCTTCTTGGGGTTCCTGATTCCAAAACTTCACCCTTAGCATTTCTGGACCTGTGTGCTGGGCCAGACCTATTCTAAAGGATGAGTCCCCGTCCATGCAGCATTTAACACAAGCTGACTTAAGAGACCTTGGACTTTAAGGGAACACTGGTGGTAGTCTGAAAGTACTCCTCATGGCCAGGCATGGCAGTAGCTATTGGGGGAGGTTCCTCTGCCTTTAGAAAGAAGGAGAAAGTGTGGAAATAATTACATCTTGTGGTTTCAGTGCCACTTAGCCACAATACAATAGAATATCAAACAGACTTTTAAGGGTTTTGACTCTAGTACCTGGCTCCTGGATGGTATTTCTGGAGCCAACCAGGGCCTGGGGGTCCTTGTCACCCTGAAAAAAAAAGGCTAGGCCTTTGAGCAGACATAGTCAGTAGCTAGGTAGTGGCTATAGCAGGCTTTGGAAGAGACCCATTGCTGTGATTGCCTCAGGTCTAACCCAGTGCAATCATAACAGTCATATCCTCATGGTTGCTTGTGTAACTCTATCCCCAGATTTAGGTGGAGAAAGAGAGAGAGAGCGAGAGAGAGAGAGAGAGAGAGAGAGAGAGAGAGAGAGAGAGAGCGACTCTGTATGTTTGGGATAAAGTAAAAGAAGAGAACAAGAGTCTGCCTGGTAATCCAGAGAATATTCACAGATCTTGATCAAGGCCATGAAAATAGTACCTCTATGAGACTGCAAGAACCATAGTGTTACTGAGCTTGGGGTGGCCCCTAAAGCAGATACAGCTTAGATAACAACATCCAAGTTCATTCAAAATCTGGAAAACCTTACAAAGAAGGATGACTATAAAGAAGCCCAGCCAGTGAAGACAACAATAAATATCTAATTAATTATTCAATGTGCAGACACCGAAGAACATCTACTAGCATGATCACCATCATGGAAAACATTACTTCAACAAATGAAATAAATAAGGCATGAGAGACCAATCGTGGAGAAACAGAGTTATGTGACCTTTTGGACACAGAAGTCAACATAGCTGTGTTTAGGAAACTCAAAGAATTCAAGATAACAGATAGAAGAATTTCAGAATCCTATCAGATAAATTTAACAAAGAGATCGAAATAATTAAAAAGAATCAGGCAGAAATTTTGGACCAGAAAAATGCAATTAGCATACGGAAGAATGCATCAGAGCCATTTCACAGCAGAATAAATCAAGCAGAAGAAAGAATTAGTGAGCTTGAAGACAGGCTATTTAAAAATACACAGTCAGAGGAGACAAAATAAAAAGATATAAAAGTAATAAAGCATGCCTATAGAATCTAAAAAATAGTTTCAAAAGGGCAAATCTAAGAGTTATTGGCCTCTAAAAAGGAGATAGAGGAAAATATAGGGGTAGGAAGTGTATTCAAAGGGATAATAACAGAAAACTTTCCAAATCTAGAGAAAGATATCAATATCTAAGTACATGAAGATTATATAACACCAAGCAGATTTAACCCAAATGAAATTAATTCAAGGCATTTAATAATCAAACTCCCAAAGGTATAAAATAAAGAATTATAAAAGCAGCAAAAGAAAATGAACAAATAACATACAATGGAGCTCCAATATTTCTGGCAGAAGACTTTTCAGTGGAAACTTTACAGGCCAGGAGAGAGTGACCTGAAATATTTAAAGTGCTGAAGGAAAAACTTTTACCCTAGAATAGTATATCTGGTGAAAATATCTTTCAAACGTGAAGGATAAAGACTTCACAGACAAATAAAGGTTAAGAGATTTCATTAGTACCAGACCCATCCTACAGGAAATGCTAAAGGAAATACTTCAATCATAGAAGAGAATATTAATGAGCAAGAAATGATCACGTGAATATACAAAACTTACTGGTAATAGTACAAACACAGAAAAACACAGAATATTATAACGCCATAACTGTAGTGTGTAAACTATCCTTATTTTAAATAAAAAACTAAATGATGAACCAATCAAATATAATAACTACAACAAATTTTGGAAACATAGTAAGTACAATAAAATATAAACAGAAACAGCCAAATGTTAAAAAGCAGGAGGACGAAGTTAAGGAGAGTTTTTTAAATTAGTTTTTTGTTTGTTTATGCAAATATTGTTTATTTGTTATCAGGTTATATCAGGTTAAAACAAAAGGCTATAAGATATTTGCCAGCCTCATGGTAACCACAAATGAAAAAGCATACAATGGATACACAAAAAACAAGAAGAAAGAAACTAAATCATACCAAAAGAGAGAATTACCTTTAGTAGAGAAAGACAGGAATAAAGAGAGAAGGAAGAGAAGACCACAAAACATCCCCAAAACAAATAACAAAATAGCAGGAGTAAGTCCTTACCGATCAATAATAACGTAGAACGTAAATGTACTATAAACTCCAATCAAGAGACGTAGACTGGCTGGATGAAGAAAGGAGACCCATTTATCTGTTACTTATGAGAAACACACTTCACATATAAAGAAACACATAGACTGAAAATAAAGAGATGGAAAAAGTTATCTCATGCAAATAGAAACCAAAAAAGGGCAGAAGTTGCTATACTTATATCAGATAAAATAGATTTCAAGACAAAAACTATAAGAGACAAAGAAGATCACTATATAATGATAAAGAGGTCAATTCAGCAAGAGGATATAACAATTTGAAACATCTATGTACCCAACACTGGAGCACCCAGATATATAAAGCAAATATTATTAAAGCTAAAGAGAGAGGTAAGCCCCAGTACAAAAATAGCTGAAGATTTCAACACACCACTTTCAGCATTGGACATATCTTTCAGACAGAAAATCAACAAAGAAACTGTAGACTTAATCTGCACCATAGACCAAATAAATCTAATAAATATTAACAGATCATTTCATCCAAGAGCTGCAGAATACACATTCTTTTCCTCAGTACATGGATCATTCTCAAACATAGACACTACGTTAAGTCACAAAAGAAGTCTTAAAATATTACAAACATGGAAATAATATCAAGCATATTCTTGGAATAAAATAAAAAATATGGAATAAAACTAGAAATTAATGCCAAGAGGCATTTTTGGAAACTATAAAAATACATGAAAATTAAATAATATACTCCAGAATGACCAGTGGGTCAATGAAGAAATTAAGGAAAAAATTGAAAAAATTATTGAAACAAATGATAATAAAACAGAGCATACCACAACCAATGGAATACAGCAAAAGCAGCACTAACAAGGAAGTTTACAGATGTAAGTGCATACATCACATAAGATGAAAATCTTCAAATAAAGAATCACGCATCTTAAAGAATTAAAAAAGCAAGAGAAAACCAAACCCAAAATTAGTAGAAGAAAATAAATATTAAAGAATAGAGCATAAATAAATAAAGTTGAAACAGAACAATACAAAGTGTCAACAAAATGAAAAGTTGGTTTGTAAAATAGTTAAACAAAATTGACAAACCTTTCACCAGACTAAGAAAAACAGAGAAGATCCAAATAGATAAAGTCAGAAATGAAAATGGTGACATTGCAACTGATACCACAGAAATTCAAAGAATCATTAGTTTCTACAATGAGCAACTACACACCAACATATTGGAAAATCTAGAAGAAATGGAAAAATTCCTAGATGCATACAACTTACCAAGATTGAACCATGAAGAAATATAAAACCTGAACAGATCAATAACAAGTAACAAGATCAAAGCTGCAGTAAACATTCTCTCACTAAAGGGAAGCCCGGGACCTGATGGCTTCACTGTTGAATTCTACCAAACATTTAAAGAACAACTAATACCAATCCTACTCAAACTACTCCAAAAACATAGAAGAGGAAGTAATACTTCCAAACTCATTCTATGAGGCCTGTATTATCCTGATACTCAAGGCAGACAAGGACACATTAAAAAAAAACTGCAGGCCAATATCTCTGATGAATATTGATACAAAAATTTCAACAAAATACTAGCAAACTGAATTTGACAATGCATTGGAAAGATTACTCATTATGATCAAGTGGGATTTATCCCTGTGATGTAAAAATGATTTAACATATGCAAATCAATCAATGTGATGTATCATATCGAGAGAACAAATGATAAAAACCAAATAATCATTTCAATTGATGCTGAAAAAGCACTTGATAAAATTCAACATCCTTTCACGATAAAAACCTCCAAAAAACTGGGTATAGAAGAAACATACATTAGCCTAATAAAAGTCACATGTGACAGACCCACAGCTAGTATTTACCGAATGGAACAAACCTGAAACCCTTTTCTCTAAGATCTGGAACACAACAAGGATGCCCAGTTTCACCGCTGTTATTCAACATAGTACTGGAAGTCCTAGCTAGAGCAATTAGACAAGATAAAGATATAAATGACATCCAAATTGGAAAGGAAGAAGTCAAATTATCCTTGTTTACGGATAATATAATCTTATATTTGGAAAAACCTAAAGATTCTACAAGAAAACTATTAGAACTGATAAAAGAAGTTTCAGGATACAAAATCAATATGCCAGTATCAACATACAAAAATCAGTAGCATGTCTATATGCCAACAGTGTACAATGTGGAATGTAAATTTTTTTAAAAATTTATTTATAATAGCCACACATAAAATTAAATACCTAGGAGTTAACCTAACCAAAGAAGTAAAGATCTCCCTAATGAAAACCATAAAACACAGAAGAGAACTGAAAGATGAAAAGATATTTCATGTTCATGAAGTGGAAATAAATCAGTATTGTTAAAATGTCCGTGATACCCAAAGAAATGTATAAATTCAATGCAATCCCTATCAATATACCAATGACATTCTTCACAGAAATAGAGAAAATTCTAAATTTACATGGAACCACAAAAGAGAAACTAGACAAAGCTATCCTAAGCAAAAAGAACAAAATTGGAGGAATTACATTGCCTGACTTCAAATTATACTATGAAGGTATAGTAACCAAAACAGCAAGGTACTGGCATGGAAACAGACACACATACAAATGGATCAGAATAGAAAACACAGAAATAAATCCACACACCTGCAGAAAACCTATTTGTGACAAAAGTTCTAAGAAAGTACCCTGGGGAAAAGACAGTCTCTTCAAGAAATGGTGCTGAAAAAGCTGGATATCCATATGCTTAAGAATAAAACTAGACCCCTATCTCTCACCATATACAAAAATCAAATCAAAATTAATTAAAAACTGAAATCCAAGATTTCAAACCCTAAAACTGCTACAAGGAAACTTTGGGGAAAACCTCAAGGACATTGATCTGGGCAAAAATTTATTGAGCAATATCTCACAAGCACAGGCAACCAAAGCAAAAATGGAAAAATGGGATCACATCAAGTTAAAAACCTTCTGCATACCAAAGAATACAATCAACAATTTGAAGCTGCAACCTACAAAACGGGAGAGAATATTTTCAAACTACCCATCTGACAAGGGATTAATAACAAAGATATATAAAGTGCTTACACAAATCTACAGAAAAAAATCTAATAATCCTATCAAAAGAGGGTTAAAAAATTTGAATAGACATTTCTCAAAAGGAGGTATACAAATGGCAGACAATATGAAAAGGTGCTCAACACCACTGATCATCAGAGAAATGCAAATCAAAACTACAATGAGATATCATCTCATCTAATTTAATTGGTTTGTAGTGCTGTTCAAGTTCTCTGTTTTCTTATTGAACTTCTGGTTAATTATCTCATCCATTATTGAACGCAGAGTAATGACATGTCTACCATGACTGTAGAGCCACTTATTTTTTCCTTCAGTTATGTCAGTGTATTCTTGATATATTTGGGAGTTCTTATGTTTGATGCACATCTGCTTAGACTGTTATATATTCTTGGAAAGTTGACATTTTTATTAATATATAATGCCATTTTCTCTTGTAGTATATTGTTACTTAAAGTCCATTATTTTCTCTTATGAGTATCTACATTTCACCTCTTTTTTCTTTAATATTTGCATGGAATATCTACTTCCTTCCTTTTACTTTCGACTTATTTGTGTCCTTAAATCTAAAGTAAGTC
This sequence comes from Homo sapiens, assembly GCF_000001405.40. NCBI lineage: Eukaryota > Metazoa > Chordata > Mammalia > Primates > Hominidae > Homo > Homo sapiens. The sequence goes on from NC_000023.11 coordinate 83,744,389, forward strand.
ACTTGTGGATAGCACGCATTTGAATGCCCTTTTCCATCCATTCAGTCAATTTATGTATTTTGTTTGGGAACTTTAACCTATTTACATAGAGAGTAATTAATGATAGAAAATGACTTATTTTTGCCATTTTAAAATTTGTTTGCTGTGTGTTCATAGCTTTTTCATTTATCATTTCCCGAATTACTACCCTCCTTTTTGTTTTGTTAATTAAAAAAATATTTCTTATAGTGTTTGTTTTCATGTGTTTTTCCACCTTTATTGAGGTATATTTAGAAACAAAAAAAATTATATATCTAAGGTGTGCACCTGATGTTTTGATATACATATCCATTGTAAAGTAATAATTACAATCAAGTTGATTAACACATCAATCAACTCATATAGTTACGTTTTTAAAATATTATGTTATCTTCAAATGGAGATACTTTTACTTCTTCATTTCCAATATATATGCCTTTCATTTATTTTTTTTCTTGCCTTACTGCTCTAGATAGGACCTCAAGAACTCTGTTGAAAATAGAAGTGGAGACAGTGAGAATTCTTGTTTTGTTCCTAGTCTTAGAGAAAAATGTTTAAAGCTTTTCAACACTGAGCATAATGTTAGTTGTGAGCTTGTCATATTTGGTCTTTATTATGGTGAAGTGCATTAATTCTATACCTAATTTGTTGAGAGGTTTCTTTTTAATCATAAAAAAGGTGAATTTCATGAAATCCTTTTTCTACATCTATTGAGATGGACATATAATTTTTTCCTTCATTCTGTTAGTGTAGTACATCACATTTATTGATTTATTTAGATTGAACCATCCTCATATCATAGGGATAAATCCTATTTGGTCATGGTTGTGATCTTTTTAATGTGTTGCAACATTTAGTTTGCTAGTATTTTGTCTAAAATTTTTGCAACTATGTTAATTAGGGATATTGAACAATAATTTTTTTCTTGCAGTCAGTTACAACACACTTTTCTCTCATGACCTCTGAGTTATGCAAAACAGATGTCGGTTCTTCAGTCAGCCCCAGACAGGGTTAGAACTTTGAAAATAAGTTCTGCTGTGATCTTTCAGGATCATGGGTGTAAATGTGGAAATGGGCTCCTGCCTCCTCCAAACCAAGACCGTGCTATAGTGGTGGCAGATAGGGCAAGTGCAAATAAAACTACAATGAAAATGTTACAGTTTTAAATGTCACTGTTTCATGACTGAGCATTCATTTGTTAGGTCTAGATGTGTGACTTTCTTCCTGACTTTCTGTAATACTATTTTAACAAGTCTCTAGTTGCTTTTTGGTGTTTCTGTGTAGCATTAAGGACCTGGAACTTTTTAGATATTTTTCTGATGTCCTACCTAATTTTTATTTTTTATTTTTTTATTATACTTTAAATTCTAGGGTAAATGTGCACAACGTGCAGGTTTGTTACATATGTATACATGTGCCATGTAGGTGTGCTGCACCAATTAACTCGTCGTTTACATTAGGTATATCTCCTAATGCTTTCCCTCCCCCCTCCTCCTACCCCACGACAAGCCCCCGTGTGTGATATTCCCGTTCCTGTGTCCAAGTGCTCTCATTGTTCAATTCTCACCTATGAGTGAGAACATGCGGTGTTTGGTTTTTTGTTCTCGCGATAGTTTGCTGAGGATGAGTTCATGTCCTTTGTAGGGACATGGATGAAGCTGGAACCATCATGTCCTACCTAATTTTTAAAGAGGCTTTTTCTTTCACTCAAACACTGAGGACCACTAAGTCTTAAGTCTTACAGGATTTTCTTTAAAAGTCTCACACCAGTTTTCATAAAAATATAAGACTAAATTTTAAAAACTACTATCTCACACAAGAAACTTGTGCCTCCTCTCAGATGAGACTTTGGACTGTAGACTTTTGAGTTAATGCTGAAATGAGTTAAGTCTTTGAGGGACTGTTGGGAAGGCATGACTGATTGTGAAATATGAGGACATGAAATTTGGGAAGTGCCAGACGTGGAATGATATGGTTGGTTTGGCTGTGTTCCCACCCAAATCTCATCTTGAATTGTAGCTCCCACAATTCCCATGTGTCCATCAAAGGACCTGGTGGGAGGTAACTGAATCATGGGGGTGAGTCTTCCCCAGGCTGTTCTCATGATAGTGAATAAGTCTCAAGATATCAGATGGTTTTATAAAAAAGAGTTCCCCTGCACACAGTCTCTTTTACCTGCCACCATGTAAGATGTAGTTTTGCTTCTCCTTTGACTTCCACCATGATTTTGAGGCCTCCCCAGCCATGTGGGACTGTGAAGTCATTAAACCTCTTTGCTTTATAAATTACCCAGTCTCAGGTATGTCTTTATTAGCAGCATGAAAACAACCAAATAACACAGACTAACCTTGCTTATGTCCTGGCACTGTCTTACTAGAAAGTGATTTGACTGTTACTTAACATCATCTTTGGTACCTAAACTTCCTCATATGCAAAATGATATAATAATAATTTTATTCTCTCCTCATAGAATTTATAGAGGGATTAAATTAGATAATATGTTTTAAAATGCTGAGCACACAGCCTGGTACATAATGAGTGCATAAATCATCACTAATATTTCTAAAAATCAGATTGTGCTTGTCACTGGTCAATCTATTATTACCTTATTTTCAGAACAAATGTATGGGTCAAATTGTACAACCTCAAAATAGTTTGTAGGCTATTCCTCTTCAGAATTGTTTTACAATACTGTGAGTATAGTAAGCTTAGATAGAAGGAGAATTCCAGTGTGAACCAAGGTTGCATCTTAGCATACTTTATTTTCATTCTTTACCTCAACAACTTTGTACAGAAAACAAGTTATATTTCCTCTATTAGAAACAGTCTTAAGTATCCTTGAAACTGTTGACCAGTTAATACTAGAAAGAGAAACCTACTTAAAATATTTTTTTAAAACTTGGTAGGTGTTCAATACCATTTATGTAATCATTCTTAAATAACTCAATCCATTATTTCAAATCATTTAACTACTTGAGCTACATTTTGAAATTTCCTTATGGTACTCTTCTCATAGAAATCTTTGTATTTCTTTTTTTTTGTTTTGTTTAGTAAGGTATGTATGACCTTGTTTATTATCTATCATAGACATCAAGATGATCATAGTTAATACCAATTTAAGCTTTACAGAATACTGTTTTAGGCCCAATATTGATATATTAAATGAAGGTATCAGAGAATCTTGTATTTATGGCATCAGGTTATAAAGATCTATTCAAAACCATTTTTGTCAAAGTTTAAACACTGGAACAAAAGTCAAATTGTTTCTAAATGAGACACAAAATGATTCTTGCTAATAGTACAAATTTTGTCCCATGGGTAATACTATTGTCTTTTTCTTTTTTAAAAAAATTATTTTGATTTTAATTTTTGATTCAGGGAACACATGGGCAGGTTTGTTAGCTGGGTATACTGTTTGATGTTGAGGTTTGGGGTACGGATGATCCTGTCACCAAGGTAGTGAGCAGAGTCCCCAGTAGGTAGTTTTTCAGGTCTTTCTCCCGCTCCCCACCCTACCTCCCCAGTGTCTATTATTCCCATGGGTCCTCAGGTATTATTATTTTCAAGTTTTTTTCTTTACATGAAACTACTGAAAGCAAAAGTACGTCATGCTTATAGGTTACTCTGTACATTTATCATTCTATTAATAAACATCTTAAGTAATTAAGTAGTATATTAAGGCCACAAACCAAGTCCTTATCTCCTATCAAAGGACTTCTGTTATTCAATCATCTGGAAAATTCATTTTAGGCAGGACGCAGTGGCTCACATCTGTAATCTCAGCACTTTGGGAGGCCAAGGTGGGTGGATCATGAAGTCAGGAGTTGGAGACCATCCTGACCAGCATGGTGAAACCCCACCTCTACTAAAAATACAAAAATTAGCTGGGCGTGATGGTGTCTGCCTGTAATCCCAGCTACTCAGGAGGCTGAGGCAGGAGAATCGCTTGAACCCGGGAGGCAGAGGTTGCAGTGAGCTGAAATTGTGCCATTGCACTCCAGCCTGGGCAACAGAGAGAAGCTCTGTCTTAAAAAAAAAGAAAATTCATTTTAATGGGTTACGTTACAGGGTTGAGGTCAACCTACAGACACAAAATAGGTTAACTGAATTTGGTTTTTTTTTTTTCGTATCAGGTTTTAATTTTTTCATTGGAACAGGATTTGGGGGTGGGGATACTAAATGTGGCAGGGTTCAACAAATTTACATTTTATCAAAATAAGGTTCTTAAAGAGTACAATGATAGCATATGCTTTAATACTTATAGCACAAACCCTCATATTAATTGATGGTCACAGAAAAATACTGTAATGCTTTAAACAAAAGTCTTAAATTACATCAATGACACAAGTTTCAAACAAAATGCAGTGATCAAAATACTTAACTGTCCTTTCATCAAGCTTTTACAAACACAATCAGCCTTTGCTGTCTGAGCAAATCAGTTTTACTTTCTTCATGGTCCTCCATCTGTCTTTTAACATGACACTTGTCCGGTTGTTGAATTTATAATGCAACAGTATTTTAGACCAGTTTCCCTCTCCATATTTCCTCATGCCAGATCTCAAATTCTTGTCTTCTTCCCAAAGCCATGCCTGTCTTTTTCTAGCTCGATGTTTTTCAGGAGTTACCGGTTGACTCTTTGAAACAGGTATTCTGCTTTCAGTGGCTTTTCTGCTTTCTTTATTCTTTTTTGTACTTTGAAGAATTCCTATTCTTCTTTCTTTCTTATTAAGGTCTTGTTGCTCGGCTCCATGTTGCATCTTAGATAAGAAAAGATTCTTGTGAGACCTCAATAAGGATACTGTACCCTCTGAGGATTCAGTTACCGCAGACTGTTTGTCACTAACAATTTTTCTTGTATCCAAATTAGCTTCAGTTTCCATTTCAACATCATTACCATTAGGTTTATCTTGAGAAGTTAGTGTTCTTGTCCTTTTGCTTTCTACTACTTTTGCCACTGCCTTCATTAGAAAGGTTGATGATTTTTCACTTAGCACATAATTCACATAACTCTTAATTTTCTCCATCATGTGGTTGCAGCTGAAGTGTTGAAAAAAGGAATGAAATGTATCTTTCTGAGAGATTATCATAAGCAATTTGCTTTTCAAAGGCATATAAGAATTTGGATCACCAAATATTCTTTCAAAGACTTCTTCTGCTTCTTTAAAGTTGCCATTTTCCATACAGCTATAGCCTGAATTTTAATTAAATTCTGTATTTCTTCATGAAGTTTGTCATGTTCCTTTTCAATTGAACCCCAAATCATCAGGGCTGATTCCAAGGGTGTAATTCGTTCATCATTTTCAAATTGTGCATCAAGGGTTTTTCCTGCTGCAATTCTTGTCAAAAACTGACATATGTATATCGTTCTCAACTGGTAAGCTGTTAGACTGGATAGTCCATGAATAATAGCCTCTGCGCTGTTGCGGGTCCTGCGGAAGTCCTCCGAGCGGCCATCGCGGAAAGCTCAGCAAAGAGAGAGGCAGAGGAAATCGAGCATCCAGCCGGCAGCCACGGCCTCGGCCTCGGCCACTAGGCCCTCGTCCTCCTCCTCCTCCTGGGGGGCCCCCACCTGCACCTGGCACTCGAGCAGTTCCTGGCATTCGAACAGCTCCTCCTCGTTTCTCTCCGTTTCTGCCATCTCCTCCTCGGTAGGGTCGGCATCCCTACCATCCGCACAGACCCGTGGGCTCGGGGCCTGAAATCTTTGTATTTCTTATAAAATACTCTAACAAGAATTATCTCTTCAGAGACCTTTTTTTTTTTTCTGTGATGGTTTAAATGTATCCCCCACCCAAATCATGTGTTGACAACTTAACTCCCAAAGCCACAGTATTGAGAGGTGAAAGCTTTAAGAGGTGATTAGGTCATGAGGGCTCTGCCCTCATATATACATTAATGCTATTATTGATGGAGTGGTCTCCTGATTAAAAAGATGTGTTTGTACAACTTTTCTCCTCTTTTGTGTGTGTGTGCTCCCCTGCCCTTCCTCCTTCTATCACAGAATGAATTATCAAGAACACCCACACCCAATATGGGCCACCCAGCATTCAGAACTGTAAGAAATAGATTTCTGTTCTTTATAAATTGCTCAGTCGGGGAGCCAAGATGGCCAAAAAGGAACAGCTCCGGACTACAGCTCCCAGCGTGAGTAACGCAGAAGATGGGTGATTTCTGCATTTCCATCTGAGGTACCGGGTTCATCTCACTAGGGAGTGCCAGACAGTGGGCGCAGGACAGTGGGTGCAGCGCACCGTGCGCAAGCCGAAGCAGGGCGAGGCATTGCCTCACTCGGGAAGCGCAAGGAGTCAGGGAGTTCCCTTTCCTAGTCAAAGAAAGGGGTGACAGACGGCACCTGGAAAATAGGGTCACTCCCACCCCAATACTGTGCTTTTCCAACAGGCTTAAAAAATGGCGCACCAGGAGATTATATCCCTCACCTGGCTTGGAGGGTCCTACGCCCACAGAGTCTCGCTGATTGCTAGCACAGCAGTCTGAGATCAAGCTGCAAGGTGGCAGCAAGGCTGGGGGAGGGGCGCCCGCCATTGCCCAGGCTTGCTTAGGTAAACAAAGCAGCTGGGAAGCTGGAACTGGGTGGAGCCCACCACAGCTCAAGGAGGCCTGCCTACCTCTGTAGGCTCCACCTCTGGGGGCATGGCACAGACAAAAAGACAACAGTAACCTCTGCAGACTTAAATGTCCCTGTCTGACAGCTTTGAAGAGAGCAGTGGTTCTCCCAGCAGGCAGCTGGAGATCTGAGAATGGGCAGACTGCCTACTCAAGTGGATCCCTGACCCCGACCCCTGAGCAGCCTAACTGGGAGGCACCCCCCAGTAGGGGCAGACTGACACCTCACACGGCTGGGTATTCCTCTGAGACAAAACTTCCAGAGGAAGGATCAGACAGCAGCATTCGCGGTTCATGAAAATCCGCTGTTCTGCAGCCACCGCTGCTGGAACCCAGGCAAACAGGGTCTGGAGTGGACCTCTAGCAAACTCCAACAGACCTGCAGCTGAGGGTCCTGTCTGTTAGAAGGAAAACTAACAAACAGAAAGGACATCCACACCAAAAACCCATCTGTACATCACCATCATCAAAGACCAAAAGTAGATAAAACCACAAAGATGGGGAAAAAACAGAACAGAAAAACTGGAAACTCTAAAAAGCAGAGCACCTCTCCTCCTCCAAAGGAATGCAGCTCCTCACCAGCAACGGAACAAAGCTGGACGGAGAATGACTTTGATGAGTTGAGAGAAGAAGGCTTCAGATGATCAAACTACTCTGAGCTACAGGAGGAAATTCAAACCAAAGGCAAAGAAGTTGAAAACTTTGAAAAAAATTTAGACGAATGTATAACTAGAATAACCAATACAGAGAAGTGCTTAAAGGAGCTGATGGAGCTGAAAGCCAAGGCTACAGCACTATGTGAAGAATGCAGAAGCCTCAGGAGCCAATGCAATAAACTGGAAGAAAGGGTATCAGTGATAGAAGATGAAATGAATGAAATGAAACGAGAAGGGAAGTTTAGAGAAAAAAGAATAAAAAGAAACGAACAAAGCCTCCAAGAAATATGGGACTATGTGGAAAGACCAAATCTACTCTAATTGGTGTACCGGAAAGTGACTGGGAGAATGGAACAAAGTTGGAAAACACTCTGCAGGATATTATCCAGGAGAACTTCCCCAATCTAGCAAGGCAGGCCAACATTCAGATTCAGGAAATACAGAGAATGCCACAAAGATGCTCCTCGAGAAGAGCAACTCCAAGACACATAATTGTCAGATTCACCAAAGTTAAAATGAAGGAAAAAATGTTAAGGGCAGCCAGAGAGAAAGGTCGGGTTACCCACAAAGGGAAGCCCATCAGACTAACAGCAGATCTCTCGGCAGAAACTCTACAAGCCAGAAGAGAGTGGGGGCCAATATTCAACACTCTTAAAGAAAAGAATTTTCAAGCCAGAATTTCATATCCAGCCAAACTAAGCTTCATAAGTGAAGGAGAAATAAAATACTTTACAGACAAGCAAATGCTGAGAGATTTTGTCACCACCAGGCCTGCCCTAAAAGAGCTCCTGAAGGAAGCGCTAAACATGGAAAGGAACAACCGGTACCAGCCACTGCAAAATCATGCCAAATTGTAAAGACAATCAAGGCTAGCAAGAAACTGCATCAACTAACGAGCAAAATAACCAGCTAACATCATAATGACAGGATCAAATTCACACATAACAGTAGTAACTTTAAATGTAAATGGACTAAATGCTCCAATTAAAAGACACAGACTGGCAAATTGGATAAAGAGTCAAGACCCATCAGTGTGCCGTATTCAGGAAACCCATCTCACGTGCAGAGACACACATAGGCTCAAAATAAAAGGATGGAAGAAGATCTACCAAGCAAATGGAAAACAAAAAAAAGGCAGGGGTTGCAATCCTAGTCTCTGATAAAACAGACTTTAAACCAACAAAGATCAAAGGAGACAAAGAAGGGCATTACATAATGGTAAAGGGATCAATTCAACAAGAAGAGCTAACTATCCTAAATATATATGCACCCAATACAGGAGCACCCAGATTCATAAAGCAAGTCCTGAGTGACCTACAAAGAGACTTAGACTCCCACACAATAATAATGGGACACTAACACCCCACTGTCAACATTAGACAGATCAACGAGACAGAAGTTAAAAAGGATACCCAGGAATTGAACTCAGCTCTGCACCAAGCGGACCTAATAGACATCTACAGAACTCTCCACCCCAAATCAACAGAATATACATTCTTTTCAGCACCACACCACACCTATTCCAAAATTGACCACATAGTTGGAAGTAAAGCTCTCCTCAGCAAATGTAAAAGAACAGAAATTATAACAAACTGTCTCTCAGACCACAGTGCAATCAAACTAGAACTCAGGATTAAGAAACTCACTCAAAACTGCTCAACTACATGGAAACTGAACAACCTGCTCCTGAATGACTACTGGGCACATAACGAAATGAAGGTAGAAATAAAGATGTTCTTTGAAACCAACCGGAACAAAGACACCACATACCAGAATCTCTGGGACACATTTAAAGCAGTGTGTAGAGGGAAATTTCTAGCACTAAATGCCCACAAGAGAAAGCAGGAAAGATCCAAAATTGACACCCTAACATCACAATTAAAAGAACTAGAAAAGCAAGAGCAAACACATTCAAAAGCGAGCAGGAGGCAAGAAATTACTAAAATCAGAGCAGAACTGAAGGAAATAGAGACACAAAAAAACCCCTCAAAAAATTAATGAATCCAGGAGCTGTTTTTTTGAAAGGATCAACAAAATTGATAGACCACTAGCAAGACTAATAAAGAAGAAAAGAGAGAAGAATCAAATAGATGCAATACAAAGTGATAAAGGGGATATCACCACCGATCCCACAGAAATACAAACTACCATCAGAGAATACTATGAACACCTCTACGCAAATAAACTAGAAAATCTAGAAGAAATGGATAAATTCTTTGACACATACACCCTCCCAAGACTAAACCAGGAAGAAGTTGAATCTCTGAATAGACCAATAACAAGTGCTGAAATTGTGGCAATAGTCAATAGCTTACCAACCAAAAAGAATACAGGACCAGATGGATTCACAGCCGAATTCTACCAGAGGTACAAGGAGGAACTGGTACCATTCCTTCTGAAACTGTTCCAATCAATAGAAAAAGAGGGAATCCTCCCTAACTCATTTTATGAGGCCAGCATCATCCTAATACCAAAGCCGGGCAGAGACACAACCAAAAAAGAGAATTTTAGACCAATATCCTTGATGAACATTGATGCAAAAATCCTCAATAAAATACTGGCAAACCGAATCCAGCAGCACATCAAAAAGCTTATCCACTATAATCAAGTGGGCTTCATCCCTGGGATGCAAGGCTGGTTCAATATACACAAATCAATAAATGTAATCCAGCATATAAACAGAACCAAAGACAAAAACCACATGATTATCTCAATAGATGCAGAAAAGGCCTTTGACAAAATTCAATAACCCTTCATGCTAAAAACTCTCAATAAATTAGGTATTGATGGGAAGTATCTCAAAATAATAAGAGCTATTTATGACAAACCCACAGCCAATATCATACTGAATGGGCAAAAACTGGGAGCATTCCTTTTGAAAACTGGCACAAGACAGGGATGTCCTCTCTCACCACTCCTATTCAACAGAGTGTTGGAAGTTCTGGCCAGGGCAATTAGGCAGGAGAAGGAAATAAAGGGTATTCAATAAGGAAAAGAGGAAGTCAAATTGTCCCTGTTTGCAGATGACATGATTGTATACCTACAAAACGCCATTGTCTCAGCCCAAAATATCCTTAAGCTGATAAGCAACTTCAGTAAAGTCTTAGGATACAAAATCAATGCAGAAAAATTACAAGCATTCTTATACACCAATAACAGACAAACAGAGAGCCAAATCATGAGTGAACTCCCATTCACAATTGCTTCAAAGAGAATAAAATACCTAGGAATCCACCTTACAAGGGACTTGAAGGACCTCTTCAAGGAGAACTACAGACCACTGCTCAATGAAATAAAAGAGGATACAAACAAATGGAAGAACATTCCATGCTCATGGGTAGGAAGAATCAATATCATGAAAATGGCCATACTGCCCAAGGTAATTTATAGATTCAATGCCATCCCCATCAAGCTACCAATGACTTTCTTCACAGAATTGGAAAAAACTACTTTCAAGTTCCTATGGAACCAAAAAAGAGCCCACATTGCCAAGTCCATCCTAAGCCAAAAGAACAAAGCTGGAGGCATCATGCTACCTGACTTCAAACTATACTACAAGGCTGCAGTAAACAAAACAGCATGGTACTGGTACCAAAACAGAGATATAGATCAATGGAACAGAACAGAGCCCTCAGAAATAACGCTGCATATCTACAACTATCTGATCTTTGACAAACCTGAGAAAAACACGCAATGGGGAAAGGATTCCCTATTTAATAAATGGTGCTGGGAAAACTGGCTAGCCATATGTAGAAACCTGAAACTGGATCCCTTCCTTACACCTTATACATAAATTAATTCAAGATGGATTAAAGACTTAAACGTTAGACCTAAAACCATAAAAACCCTAGAAGAAAACCTAGGCATCACTATTCAGGACATAGGCATGGACAAGGACTTCATGTCTAAAACACCAAAAACAATGGCAACAAAAGCCAAAATTGACAAATGGGATCTAATTTAACTAAAGAGCTTCTGCACAGCAAAAGAAACTACCATCAGAGTGAACAGGCAACCTACAGAATGGGAGAAAATTTTCGCAACCTACTAATCTGACAAAGGGCTAATATCCAGAATCTACAATGAACTCCAACACATTTACAAGAAAAAAACAAACAACCCCATCAAAAAGGGGATGAAGGACATGAACAGACACTTCTCAAAAGAAGACATTTATGCAGCCAAAAGACACATGAAAAAATGCGCACCATCACTGGCTATCAGAGAAATGCAAATCAAAACCACAATGAGATACCATCTCACACCAGTTAGAATGGCAATCATTAAAAAGTCAGGAAACAACAGGTGCTGGAGAGGATGTGGAGAAATAGGAACACTTTTACATTGTTGATGGGACTGTAAACCAGTTCAACCATTATGGAAGTCAGTGTGGCGATTCCTCAGGGATCTAGAACTAGAAATACCATTTGACCCAGCCATCCCATTACTGGGTATATACCCAAAGGACTATAAATCATGCTGCTGTAAAGACACATGCACATGTGTGTTTATTGTGGCACTATTCACAATAGCAAAGACTTGGAACCAACCCAAATGTCCAACAATGATAGACTGGATTAAGAAAATGTGGCACATATACACCATGGAATACTATGCAGCCATAAAAACTGATGAGTTCATGTCCTTTGTAGGGACATGGATGAAATTGGAAATCATCATTCTCAGTAAACTATCGCAAGAACAAAAAACCAAACACCACATGTTCTCACTCATAGGGGGGAATTGAACAATGAGAACACATGGACACAGGAAGGAGAACATCACACTCTGGGGACTGTTGGGGGTTGGGGGGAGGGGGAAGGGATAGCTTTAGGAGATATACCTAATGCTAAATGACGAGTTAATGGGTGCAGCACACCAGCATGGCACATGCATACATATGTAACTAAGCTGCATTTTGCGCACATGTACCCTAAAACTTAAAGTATAATAATAATAAAATAAAAATAAAAAAAAGAATTCAATCTCTAGCCAAAATGACCAATATTAGAAATTAGGGAAGATGTTGATAGTATTATGAAAGGGGCATTCAGAATACTGAGATCTTCTGCAAGCCACAGCCACCCTTCCTCATGAATCCCTGAGGATATAAACAGGGAATGCCGCAAGTTGCTGGCTGGGCTTTGTAGCCGGACACCACTGCCAATCGGAGGGTGATTCTGAACTGGATCACAAAGCCTGGGCTAGGCACTCATAATGAGCCTCTTCACAGTTCCTGGTCATCACCCCAAATTGTACTGCACTTTCGATGGCAACATAAAAGGAAGAAACCGGAAAAAAGGGAAATTGTCAGTGAATAAGAGCACCAGAGAGCCATAAGCCTTCTAAGCGAGCAGCCCCTGACTCAGCCAGCTGCCTTTGGTTCTGCATGGACCCTTGAGGAGAAAAGGAGCAAGCAAGCTCAACCAGCTTCCAACCAATGAGCTAGAGGTTATGCTGGAATCCAATAAGCCCACAGTCACTTGTGAGGGGTGGTAGTCAAGGTGTGGGGTGGAAAATGGAACATTCCTACTCTAAAGCCTGCAGATGACAATCAGAATGGACAAAGAGTAAGGAATTCCTTTTTGGGATTTGCAAAGCACTGTGTATATTTATACATTGAAGTTATTTACAACAACAACAAAAAATAAATAAATAAATAATTAAATAAATTGCTCAGTCTCAGGTATTCTGCTATAGCAATTCAAAATGGACTAAGACACTTGCTTACTGAAGATCTAATTGAAGGTAGCGTCCACTATGCTATCGAATGTCTCATATATGTGTCCTTTAATTAGTCATATAATTTAACACAATGTAATTGAACTTGCTTTCTTTTTGCTTTGGAGTTTTGGAGACTGACCTACTGCCAGAGTTAGTTTTCAAATGAAGAAATTAGTCCATCTTATGCAAGAAAAGAGAGTGAAGGCTTGCTAAAGATACAGACTACCAGTATAGTTATAAGTAATAACAGATCAGCCACACTATTATGTCAAGCATTTTCTTAAGATTTATCTTAAAGTTAATCATTATTCACTCACTTATCTTTTTTTTTGTATCACATGCTCAGTCTTTTATTTTTAAGAATTGTTTTTCTTTCTCTCAAATGTTCACTTATAATATGAGGTTATGTCCACAGAAATTTTCAGAAGCAGAAAATTATTGTGGAACTCTGGGATCGTGAGAATTTCACTAAAATCAACTTTTCTAAATTCAGTTCTAGCTCCCTAAGGGGAAAAAGTCAGTAATCCAGTCAAATCTGAGAGAAACGAGGGATTTTGCTTGACTAGCTATATTCCTTCTATGCCAATGAGATATTATTACTGATGAATTGTGAAGAGTTCTGACCAGTGTACTTTCTTTAGTAGGTAAGACAATCCTATGAACACCATGAGGAAAGAAAAATAAGTAAATAACTTAGGCAGTAGAAGAAGATCCATGTTTCTCTTTACTTTTTGCTCTGAATAGAAATTTTTAAAACCCACTTTTCCACTACAAGCTATAGATTCATGTTTAAATTAAGCTTCTTTAGAAAAGTGAAGCTTATCCCCTATCCACCCAACATCTATTAACTGGAGACTTTTCAAATTATAAATGGAAGATAATCATTTCAATTACTTCACTTAAAATAGGATGGAAGAGAAAAATGTTTTTGTTTTTCCCTTTTCCCAAGACATTAAAATGTTTGCCTAATAAAAACAACAAGTTAAACTTACAAATGAGAATCTTAATGAAAAGGACATTGTGAATGCTTGTTATGTGGAGGTTAGGGGTAAGCGTGCCCTCTTCTTTGTGAACACTAGCCAATATTTTTAAAATTGCATGTTGGGAATAATCTCTAAGACACAGTTTCACAATGTTTTGCATTCATTTAAAAGTGAAGTGTATTTTATTTGTCTCCTTGCCAACTTTTTGAAGACTTCCTCTCAGGCTCCTGTCCTTTTTTAAAGAAACCCTTAGGACTGCTTTGATGCTCCTCAAATGAAAAAATCTACACCCAAGAACACATGAGATTGTCATAATTGGACTCCTTCCCAGAATAAAGAAGACTGTTGGAGGGAGAGCAATTTAAATAGAAATGTGTCTATCTTATCCTGAGCTGGCATTTCCTATTGTCAATATTTTTTTTAAAAAAGTGCTGGCAAGGACAGTATTTCAAGTACCAAGCTTGAATTACTAAAGTAAGCATCATAACTTCCAACAATAAAAATATTATTCTTTCTTAACAACTTTTATTTCCTAGTGACACACTTTGTTACATTAATTTGTGTGTAAATGTGCAGTTTTCTATATGACCCAGGGCTACAACTAAAATGTCATCTTTATTTATCCAGCCCATTAGTTCTATTAATACCAATAACAAAAATACTTATGACCCTTTATTCACGTACAATTTTCTCCCTAATTTCAGAGAGCACTCGGATCAGTGACCAAAACCATCAAAACATAATTTATGTTTTTGTTTTTCTTTGAATGTGACTTGCTGTCTCTCTCTCAATGAGGGTTTGTACAGTGACAAATACTTGTAAGCTGTTTTTTAGGACTATCTCAAACTGCTGAAATGTGTTAAATTTCATAAAACTAAGGTAGGTAGTAGGTATAGTACATATAGTAATGGACTAGGCAGTGACAACATTAGGTTCTAATTTAGTCCTGGTTTTGTTACTTACTGGTTTCATAACTTTAGACAACCAACTAATCCATTTGAGTTTCAGTTAGCAGTCTTTAAAATAAGAGTACTAATATGCTCAGTGTCTATTATGTGAGTTTTTATGAAGATTAAACAAGGTAATATACGTGAAAACACTTATGTGTATGCAAGTAGTTATTCTTATTTATAGCAAAACAAATTGCATTATTTACAAGGGGTTTTTGTTGTGTTTAAATGCAATGGCGAAAGCACCTGAAATGGGAGAAATGTATTCAATCTCTTTGAAACTAATGATAGCTTTCTCCAAAATTAGTTGTTTCAGCGTCCTCCTTTGACTTACTATATAAATATTATTGATCTATTGTCTCACTCTGTATTTATTTATTCACCTATAAAATAGGACTGATATTTATCACCCTAGTCACTATAAAACAATTTTTGCAATGAGATCTCAGTAAAGAGAATATTATATCTCTTTAGATACTATCTTTAGATAATATCTCTTTTAGATACTAAAGGATTTGCCTGAAAAGTGAAAATTTTAAGTCAACCAACTATAGTTTTTGTCAATATGACACCAGTAACAACAAGTTTTGTTAATGATTTGACAAAATTGATTAGTTGTTTTGGTTATCTGTAGAAAAACCCCATTAATGTCTGCAAAGTGTTAATAATGTTTAGAATGAAAAAATTTGTGTTTTAGGTTCTAATCCCTAGTAGGAAGTGCCAGACTGCCCTCTAGAGTTCTGAGAGCAGAATCACATTTACTTAGGTTGAAGCAAGTGGAAACACTACTGTTTTTTTAAAAACCAATTACGAATTGGGATACTGGGAACTTGCCTTTTAATTCACACTTTTAGCTTTATTTCTCACTAATATTCCCCTAAAACTCTTGATGCTCCCTATTATTTCCCAGCCCTTTCTGTTGTATGTTCATTGTATTCCTTCTGCCTTGCCTGCTGTTCATTTCTCACTGACTGATACTATCCCTACCCCAAGACAGAGCTGATCAAATTTCTATCCATTCTTCAAGAGCCAGTTCAAATTTCACAGTCTCAGCTGTGCCTCCTCCCAGATCTTCCGAGTCATTAGTCTTTTTTTTTTTTTTCTTATAACCCCATAGAACTCCTTTTCATTCTGGCTTACCCTTATTCTAGTACGACTTGCATTATTAATATGCATAAATGTCTGCCTGCTCCCACTAAGCCATAAGTACCTAGATTGAAAGGATAATGAAATATTCCTTTCTGAAACTTGCACAGTACCTCACATAAAAGTGGTTTAATAAATATGTGTCAAATTAAATTAAGTTGATTCGATAGGCTAAGAGGGTGGGTTTCCTTATTATAATATTTTTATTTAAATGAGTCTAGGTTTATTTTATGTAATCTAGTGTGAAATACTTATTATGGCCTCGATATTATTTTCCTTCTTTCCACTTCTTAGCCAACATAATGACCAGAAGCTTTGATGAGGTTCCTCCTGCTAGTGCTTAAATTCATCAGGTTGCTTTCTTTGCTTAATTGATATTATTTTAAACTGATATTTTGACCGTATTCTTTACAGTCTGATATCAATGTCCCATTAGCAACAATTACTTTGAATAATTACTCTTCCAAATGGAATAAAATTTGAAAGTCTAATTCATTCTAGTCTCTGCCCTCAAGGATACAAGATTTTATTATCTTAGTTTAACAGAAAAGGCAATTGAGGCCCAGAGATGTTAAGTTACTACCAATTACACTGCTAGTCAATAGCAGATCTAATCTCAAAATTCACAATCAAAAGTTCTTTTCCTTATAACCCCCTTTGCCTCCCTGTTGGATTACCTTTTTTTGGGACAACAGAAAAACCTTATTAACATTTACATTTCAGTGTACCAAATGGTAGATTGGCGGTCTGATAGAGTGACTGAGGTGCATTAAATTGTACAATGACTAATTGGAACAAAGAGTTACTCAGGTTTAGGGTATACTTTCTAAAAAAATATAATATTTACAACATAGTTGAATTCTAAAAAGGAAACTTAGTTGTTAGGTTTCTTTGGTTTTATTATAAAGGCAAAGTAAAATACAACAAATCCTTAAAGTGTCATGTTATGGATGTTAAGCAATAAGTAAAAGGAATAAATTTCATTCATTTATCCAATATTCAACATATATGCATATATCCTCTACAAGCCACAAAATTGAATAAGGCAGTATGAGGAAGTGTGACCAAAGGGATTCATACATCACATGGAATTGGACTAGATTACATGTTAAGGTTTTTTTTAAACCCTGAAATTTATGCATTTATGTATATGTGAATTCACATAAGCCTTTCTTCTGTCTCTCTGTTTTTGATCTTTCTTTCTTAATTTTACCTGTTCAAATCTAGATTCTTGCATTTATTAGCTTACCAATTTCTATAATATTCATACACTCCTGATTATTCAGTTTTTGACATTTATCTAATAAGCCCAGTTAAGTCCAGCTTCATGGAGTCTCAGATAATAACTCATACATGTTGAGCTATTATCCTGACTCAAATGTCCCAAGTTATGTCAGAAGGACATTATCTCTTCTCTCAAAAAGTATATAATTTAAATGGATGGGATTCAATATATAGATAAATCATTATGAGTGACTATTATATATCACTTAAAGTGTATGAGCTAAATGTTAAAGGAATTTAGAGGATATGATGGATGCCTTAGAGTTGAAGATCTCAAAGTTGATATTAGACTGGTCATTAAGATCAGGGGAGGTAGTATTCTGGCCACAGGTGTAGTGATGAAAATGTGTGATATGTCTTTTAGGAAAGGACTAGAGGAAACACGTAGAAGAGAAGAAAGAGAGAAAGCTATGTAAAGGCAGGCTGAGGTCTGAATGTGAATACTTTTAAATGACTGGCAAGAATTTTGACTGAATTTTGTAGGGGGCAGGAAACCACTAAAGATTATTGAAAAGAGAAATTATTTAGTCAAAGTTGTATTTTACCAAAGATATTATGTTGCTGTTGAGGATAGATTGTAGAAAAGGAGAATACTGCATGAATTTTGGAAGCTAATGAAGTGGTCTAGGGGAGAGGGATTGAATCTCTAGTCTAAGATGATGGCAGTGGAAATGAAAAGGAAGAAATTGACTTGATGGATATAGACCATCTCCACAAATAATTTACTAATTCTAAGAATGTTGCCTTGGTGAGGAGCAGCTAAAGAAAATATGTCCTTCTTGCAAATTAAGAAATAATTTTGAGCATTTGTATGCCTGAATGGCAAACTTGAACAGTAGGTGGAACAGAAACTTATTAGAGGTGACCATTAACTGTGGTGTCTTAGAAAGACTCCTCACTGAAAGTTTCTCCCCCATTTAAGTCTCACAATATAATCAGTTCTACCATTAGAGATTGAACTCTTTTAGTTAAACCTTGTTATTTCCATGCCTCCTTTTGAAAATAAAATTCAATTGTATCACATCTATTTTCTAGCACTTTAATTGAAATGAATGTATTGGATGCTTTCTCCCTGCTTGGAGAGACATGTCTGTCTGATAAAAAGTTGAAAGCTGTCTATGGGCCACGAGCTCTGCTCTATACAATACACACATTACACACATATTTTATGTAATTCTCATAACAACATTATGAGGTAGATACTATTATATACAAATTTACAGATGAGAAAACTGAAGTACAGAGAAATTAAGTAACTGCTCAAGGTACTTCATCCAGTAAATGGTAAAGCCAGAGTTTTGAACTGTGTTTAAAATTCTGCTAACCAACTAATTATACTGTGCAATAGTTTAATTTTGAAATTATACTGGATTTGATCCTTGTTGGTAGGTAATAGTGGGTAGCCAGCAAATGGGGAAAATGTGGGGCAAATTTTAAAACCAAATTATTCACTTGAGAAGTTGACCATACAGACCTAATTAAAAATAGTAGGCACCCAAATGTCATTGGAAATCTGCAGTATCTCTTGTCCTATTTACTCTAGGTTAAGATATTTCCTTCTTCTTACTCTAGCATGGATAGCGTTTAAGGTTAGCCCACAGTGAAACAAAATCCCAGCATGTGAAAGACAGAATAATGGACCCCCAAAAATGTCTACATTCCAATCCTTGAAACCTGTGAATATGCTGCTTTATATGGCAAAATGAAAAAAAAAAAATGGACTTTTGCGGGTGTGATTAAAGCCCTTGAGATCGGATAATTATCCTGAATTATCCACGTGGACTTCATCTAATTTCATAAACCCACAAAGTTTGAGAGCTTTTCCCTGCTGTAGTCAGTCAGAGTGAGATGTGACTGTGGAACAATGGTTGGAGAGGTGCAAAATTACTTGGTTTGAAGGTGAAGGAAGGGGCCACAAGCCACATAATATGAGCAGACTGTAGAAGCTGAAAATGGCAAAGACATAGATTATCTCCTAGAGCATCCAGAAAAGAATGCATCCGGCTGACACGTTAATTATAGCTCAGTAAGACAGATTCTAGACTTCTGATCTGCGGAACTGTAAGATAATAAATATGTGTTGCTTTCAACTACTGAGTTTGTGGTAATTGGTTACAGCAGCAATGGAAAACTAATATATTACTCAAAGAGTTGACGGCTACTATCAGCTGAGGGGGTGGGAATGAACTATACATTCTTTATAAAATAATAATTTATAGAGGTGAAATTAATATGAGATAAAATTAACCATTTTAAAGTGAAAAATTCAGTGGCATTTAGTACATTCACAATGTTGCTCAACCACTACCTCTATCTAGTTCAAAATATTTCCATCACTCCAAAGTAAAACCCCTTACCCATTAAGCAGTTTCTCCCAACTTTTTTCTCCTCCTATCTACTCCCTGGCAATAATCACTTTGCATTCCATCTCCATGTATTTATCTATTATGAATATTTTATATAAATGGAATCATGTAATATATGACTATTTGTGTCTGTCTTTTTCTTCTTAATATTATGTTTTGGAGGTTCCTCAATGTTGTAACATGTGTCAGTATTCAATTATATTTTATAGCTGAATGTACAATTTGTTATACATTCATCTATTGATGAACATTTCATCTGTTTCCACCTTTTGCCTATTCTGAATAGTGAACACATAAACACATGTATTTTTGAGTACCTATTTTCAAACCGTTTGGGCATGTACTGAGAATCAGAATTATGAAGTCATATAGAAAATCTATTAAACCTAAAATTTAAGTAATTTTTGAGTAACTGCCAACTTGTTTCCAATAATTTGAAATATTTATCATTCCTACCAGCAATGCACAAGGGTTTCAATTTCTCCACATCGTTGCAAACATTTTTAATTTTCCATTTTTTTCTTTTATTATAGCCATCCTAGTAGGTACAAAGTAATACCACATTGTAGTTTATATTGGCATTTCCTTAATGCCTAATGATGTTGAGCATCCTTTCCTGTATTTGGTGGCCATTTGACTGTTTTCTTTGGAGAAATGTCCATTCAGATTTTTTTATTGTTTTGTACAAAATAATAAAGAAGACAAACAACCCAATTAAAAAGTTGTTGTGTTGTAAAAGTTCTCTGCATATTTTATATACTACACCTTTATTAAATATGCGATTTGAAAATATTCTCTAGCATGCTTTAAATTGCCTTTTTACTCTCTTAATAATGTGCTTTTAAAACAAATAGCTTGAGGTATAATTAATATACAAAAATGCATTTATTTTTTCTTTCCAACTTTTACTTTAGGTTTAGTGGGTACATGTGTGGGCTTGTTATATAGGTAAATTGCATGTCATAGGGGTTTGGTATACAGATTATTTTATCACACAGGTAATGAGCATAGTGGCTAATAGGTAGTTTTTTGATCCTCACCTTCCTTGTACCCTCCACCCTCAAGTAAGCCCCAGTGTCTAGTTTTCTCTTCTTTGTGTCTATGTGTACTCAGTGTTTAGATACCACTTATAAGTGTGAACATGTGACATTTGGTTTTCTGTGCCTGTGAACTCACTTAGGATAATGGCCTCCAGCTCCATCCATGTTGCTGCAAAGAACATGACTTCATTCTTTTTATGGGTGCATAGTATTCCATGGTGTATATGTAACATATTTTCTTTATCCAGTCCACCACTGATGGGCATCTAGGTTGACTCCATGCCTTTGCTATTGAGAATAGTACTGCCATAAACATACACATTATACACATGCATGTGTCTTTATGATAGAACAATTTATGTTCTTTTGGATATATACCTGGTAATGGAATTGCTGGGTTGAAAGGTAGTTCTAAGTTGTTTGGGAAATCTACAAATTGGTTTCCACATTGGTTGAACTAATTTACATTCTCACCATCAGTGTATAAGCATTCCTTTTTCTTTGTAACCTCACCAGCATCTGTTATTTTTTTGACTCTTTAATAATAGTCATTCTGACTGATGTGAAATGGTATCTCATTGTGCTTTTGATTTGGATTTCTCTAATCATTAGTGATGTTGAACATTTTTTTCATATGCTTCTTGGCCACATGTGTGTCTTCTTTTGACAAGTGTCTGTTCATGTCCTTTGTCCATTTTTTAATGGGGTTGACTGTATATGCATGGGTTTATTTTTGGCCTCTATTATGTTCCATTAGCCTGTATGTCAGTTTTCCTGCCAGTACCATACTCTTTTGATTACAGTAGCATTGTAATATGTTTTGAAACCAAAAAGAATGTGATACCACCAACTTTGCTCTTGGTAGAAATTGCTTTGGCTATTTGGAAACATTTTCTGTATTGAAATACATTTTATAACTTTTTTCTAATTCTGTAAAAAATGCCTTTGGGAATTTGGTAGAGATTGTATTGAATCTGTAGATTACTTAAGAAGTGTAGACATTTTAACAATGTTAATTCTTCCAATCTATGAAAAAAGGATGTCCTTCTATTTTTGTCTTTAAAATTTGTTTCTGTCAATGTTTGGTTTTTAATGTACAATACTTTCACCTTCTTCGTTCTTTATTCCTAAGTATTTTATTAATTTTTACGTTGTTGTAAATAAAATTGTTTCCTTAATTTACTTTTTGGATACTTTGTTGTTAGTATTTAGAAACACAATTGATTTTGTATGTTGATTTTGTATTCTTCAAAGTTACCGAATTCACTCATGTATCTGTTATTTTATGGAGTCTTTAGGTTTATTTTACATATAAAATAGTGTCTTCTTTAACAGAGATAGTTTTACTTCTTTCGATTTATATACTTTCTAATAATTGTTCTTGCCTAATTGCTCTGGATAGGACATTCAATATTATGTTTAATAGGAGAGGTGAGAGTGGACATTCTTACCTTATTCTGGATTTAGAGGGAAACCTTTCAGCTTTGAAATTATCGAGTATGATGTTAGCTGTGGGCTAGTCATATGTGGTTTTTATTGTGTTGAGATACATTCTTTGTAGCTCTAATTGGTTGAGAGTTTTTGTGAAACAGTATTAATATTTTCCAAAAGCTTTTTCTGTATCTAAGGAGATAATAATATGATTTTATTCTTCTTTCTGTTGATGTCGTATATAACATTTATAGATCTGTGTATATTGAACCATCCTTGAATCCTTGAAATGAATCTGACTTGGTCATGTTGTTTGGTTCTTTTAAAATGCTGCTGCATTTGGTTTGCTAGTATTTTATTGAGGATTTTGAGGTCTAACTTCATAAAAAATTCTGATCTATTCTTTTATTATGGTGTCTTTATCTGGCTTTGAAATCATGGTAATGCAGGGCTCATAAAAAAGTTTGGAAGTGTTGTCTCATTTTTTGGAAGAGTTTAAAAGAATTGGTATTCATTTTTTTTTTTAATATTTGGTAAAATTCATCCATGATACTATCTGGTCCTGTATTTTCCTTTGCTAAGAGTTATTTTTACTACTCCTTTAGTGTCCTTATTTGTTACTGGTCTGCTCAGGCTTTGTATCTCTTCTTCATCCAGTCTTGATAAGTTGTATTTTTCTAAGAGTTTCTTGACTTCTAAGTTGTCCAGTTTGTTGTTATGCAGTTGTTCACAATAGTCCTTTATGATCCTTTTTATCACCGTGAGATCAGTTTTCCTGTCTTCTCTTTCATTTCTGATTTTATTTGTTTGAATCCCTCCTTTTTATCTTAGTTTAGATAAGAGATTGTTGAGTAAGTTTACCTTCTCTAAAAACAAACTTTGAGTTTTCTTTCTTTTCTCTCATTTATTTTTGCTTTAATTTCATTTTTTTCTTTATTCTGTCAATTTTGTACTTAGTTCTTTTTTTAGTTTCTTCAGATGCAATGTTAAGTTATTTACTGGATACATTTATTGTTTAAATGTAGTTGTTTATTGCTATGAACTTTTCTCTTAGTTCTGTTTTAGTCACATTCCATACGTTTTATATTTTCATTTTTGTTTGTCTCAAAGTATTTTCTAATTTTCTTTTTCATGTCTTCTTTAACCCAATAGTTGTTTAACAGTGTATGATTTAATTTCCACGTATTTGTGAATGTTCTCATTTTTTATAAGTGTTACTTTGTTTTGACAAATAATAACTATACATATTTATGGAGTACAGTGGTATACGTACACACATTGTGTAAATGATCAATTCAGGATAATTATCATATTTATCACCTCAAACACTTGACATTTCTTTGTGGTTAAAACATTCAAAATCTTCTCATCTAGCTATTTTGAATTATATAATATCTTGTTGTTGTCTATAATCACTGCATTGTGCAATAGAATACCAAGAATTATTTCTTCTATTAAACTATAACTTTGTACCTGTTGACCAACCACTTTTCATTTTCCCCACTGCCTACTCTTCCCAGCTTCTGGTAACCATTTTTCTGATCTCTACTTCTATGATAGCAGCTTTATTAGATTCTACATATGAGTGACATCATGTGGTATTTATATTTATGTCACTTGTTACAAGATCATATCATCTGCAAACACGGACAGTTTGACTCCTTTTTTTTATCTGGATGCCCTTTATTTCTTTCTCTTGTCTAATCACTCTGGCTAGGACTTTTAGTACTATAATAAATGGAAGTTGGGTAAGTTGGCATTCTTGTCTTCTAGATTTTTGAGAAAAACTTTTAAACTATGGATTCATCATGTATCCCTTTATTGTGTTAAGGTATATTTCTTCCATACATATTTTTAGGGGTTTTGTTATATTAAAATTTTCAGTTTTATTGAATGCTTTCTCTGCATCTATTGAAATTATCATATAATTATTTTCTTTTATTCTGATAAGTGATGTATTACATTTATTGATTTGCATATGCTGAATCATATTTACATTCCTGTGATGAATCGCATTTGATCATGATAAATGATATTTTTGACATGCTGTTGAATTCAGTTTGCTAGTATTTTGTTGAGAGTATTTTCACCTACATTTGTCAGAGATATTAGCTTCTAGTTTTTTTCTTTTTCTATTGTGTTTTTGTCTGGTTTTGGTATTAAGGTAATGCTGGCCTTGTAGAATAAGTTTGGAAGAGTTCCCTGAACTTCAAATTTTAAAAATAGTTTAAGAATAATTGGTATTAACTCTTTTTTAAATGTTTGATATAACTCAGCAGTGAAACCATCAGGTACTGGGCTTTTCTTCAATGGCAGACTTTTCATTAGTGATTCAATCACATTGATAGCTGTTGGTCTGTTTAGGTTTCCTATTGCTTCAAGGTTCAATGTTGGTAAGTTGGATGTGTCCAGAAATTTATCATTTATTCTAAGTTTTCTAATTTTTTAACATATACTTGTTCATAGTAGTCTGTCATATACTTGTTCATAGTAGTCTGCATTTGTGTGAAATAAATTCTGATATCTCCTTTTTCATCTCTGCTTTTATTTGAGTCATCTTTTTTCCTTAGTCTAGCTTAAGGTTTGTCAATTTTCTTTATCTTTTCAAACAACCAAGACTTCGTTTTATGTTTTTTAGTCCCCGTTTCTGTACTGATCTTAATTTTTTATTTATTTCTATTTATTTTGTGTTTAGTTTGTGTTATTTTTTAGTTGTCCAGGAGTGAGGTTAGATTGTTTATTTGAAGTTTCTCTACTTCCTTGATGTAAGCATTTATTGCTATAAACTTCCCTCGTAGTACTGCTTTTGCTGATTTCCATAGGTTTTGGTATGGTGTGTTTCCATTTTCATTTGTCTCAAAAATGTTTAATTTTATTTTTTAATGTCTTCATTGACCCACTGGTTATTCAGGGTAATGTTTAATTTTCATGTATTCGTGCATTTTCTAGTGTTGCTTTTTTGTTGATATCTAGCTTTATTCCACTGTTTTCAAAAAATAACTCATACAATTACAATTTAAAAATGTGTAAAACTTTTTTTTGGCTTCACATGTAATCTAACCTGGAGAATGTTTCATGTGCTGCTGAGAAGAATGTGTATTCTGTGGCTATGTATGAAATGTTCTATAAATGCTATTAGGTGCATTTTGTCTAGAGTGTGGTTTAATTCTGGTGTTTCTGTGTTGAGTTTTTTTCTGGATATGTCCATTGCTGAAATTCAGGTGCTGAAGTCCCCTATTAATATTGCATTTCAGTCTATCTCTCACTTACTGTCTGTTAGTATTTGTTTATAAATTTAGGTGCTCCTATGTTGACTGCATATATATTTATAATTGTATCTGCTTGCTGTATTGACCCCTTTGTCATTATGTAATTGCCTTCTTTCTTTTTACATTTTTTGATTAACATCTATTTTCTCTGATGTAAGTAGTTACTCCTGTTCTCTTTTGGTTTTCATTTGCATGGAATGTCTTTTTCCATTTTTTTCATTTTCATTATATTCATGTTCTAACTGTGGAAGTCTCTTGTAGGACAGAAAGAGTTAGGTCTAGCTTTTTAATCCATTCAGCAACTCTATGTCTTTTAATTAGGCAATTAAGTCTATTTATACTCAAGGTAATTATTGGGGTGTAAGGGCTAAGTACTGCCCTTCTGTAACTTGTTTTCTGTTTGATTTATAGATCCTTTCCTTCTTTCTTCTTCTCCTACAGTCTTCTTTTGTGGTTATTTTCTCTAGTTGTATGTTTTGATTCGTTGCTATTCATTTTCAGTGTATCTATTGTAGGATTTTGCTTCTGGTTACCATGAAGCTTACAAAAAAATACAACTTTAATAAAAAAAGTTATTTTCTCCTTATGGCAACTTAATTTGATTGCAAGTAAAAAAGAAACAAAAGTAACTCTGTGTTTTACATTCTCTCTTCATATTTTGAATTCTTGTCACAATTTACATTTGCTATATTGATTATCTCTTAACAAATTATTGTAGTTATTATTATTATTAATATTTTTGTGTTTTAGTGTTCACACTAAAGATATAAGTAGTTTACACATCGTGAATACAGTATTAGAATAACAGTCATGTTGATGTCCTTTTCTATTGGTCTGTAGAACTTCTAACATTTCTTGTAGAATAGAACTGGTGAGGATTAATTATCTCAGCTTTCCTTTTTCTGGGAGTGTTTTATCTCTCCATGATTTCTGAAGTATAGCTTTGTGGGGTTCAGTACTCTTGTGTGGCATATTTTAGTGCTCTGAATTTGTCATTTTATTCCCTCCTGGCATGTAAGGTTTCTGCTGAGGAATTAAATGTCAGGTATTTTTGATCTCCCTTATATGTTATTTGCTTCCTTGTTCTCACTGATTTCAGAATCTTGTCTTTGTTGAACTTTGAGAGTTGGCTTATAATATATCTTTAGGTATTCATATTTAGGTTTAATCTGACTGGTGACATTCGATCTTCTACCGGGATATTTGTATCTTTCTCTAGGTTTAGAAAGCTATCTTATTTCTTTAAATAGCCGCTCTACCACCTTTGTCTTTCTCAATTCCCTTTTCAATTCCAATAACCAAAATTTCTGATCCTTTTATGTTGTCCCATAGATCCTGTAAACTTTCTTTATTACTCTTTAATTGTTTTTTTCTCCTCTGACTATTTTCAAATAGCCTATTTTCAAACTTACTATTTCTTTCATCTACTTGATGAAGTCTGTTGTTGATGCTCTCTATTGCATTTTGATTTTGTTTGTCGTATTTCTCAGCTTAGAGATAGAGAGTAAAAGGATGGTTACCAGAGGCTAGGAAAGGTAGTGAGGAAGTGGGAGACAGGCGGAGATGATTAATGGGTACAAAAAAATAGCTCTCGATTTTTTTAAAATTATTATTTCAACTTCTCTGTCAACTTTCCTTCATAAATTTTTGAATTATTTGTGTTTCCTTGAATTTTATTAAGCTTTCTTAAAATAGCTCCTTTGAATCCTCTGTCTGAGAGTTAACACATCTCTAACACTTTAAGGTTAGTATCTGTTGCCATATTTTCTTCATTTTGTGAGGTTATATTTCCCTGAATGTTCTTGATGCTTGTAGAAGTGCAATGATATCTGTGTATTGAGAAATTGGATATTTATTCCAGTTTTTGCAGTCTGGCTTTTTTTGTGTTTCCCCATTTTAAGAAGGTCCTCCAGAGATTCTAAGCAGACCATTGCGTTTTCTGAGACAGTCATCACAGCAGCTGTCTCAGCACTAGGAGGCACTCTAAGCTCAGATCAGCCATGAGTCTCACAAAGGCTCCAAGTTTGATGTAACTCTGCAACCCAGATGGACCTGGGGAAGACTCAAGGAGGCTACTGAGGCTGTGTGGTAAAGCTGACCTGGGGCTCAAGCTCAGGAGATTCCCACTGGCCCAGATGGGTATGCCTTCCAGCAGGTCCCTGCACAGATGGAATACTTATCCAACTGCAATACGAAGGGCTTGAGACCACTCCCCGCTCAGGATATGCTGTGTCAGGTGAAGGCTGGTGAGCCCATCTTATTGGATCAGATGGTTGTCCATTACAGTTAGGATTGCTCCTTGACTGCTACAGAAAGGGCCAGAACTGAGACTGGGTCCCCTTAGTATCTGCTGTGAGACAGAGGCTGGAGAACTTTGCCTTGTTGGTTCAAAGGGGTGCACATGCCCAAGCAGGTTTCCGCCACGAGACGGAGTCTTGCTCTATTACTCAGGCTGGAGTGCAATGGCTCGATCTCGGCTCACTGCAACCTCCGCCTTCCGGGTACCAGCAATTCTTCTGCCTCAGCCTCCGGAGTAGTTGGGATTACAGGCGCGCATCACCACGCCTGGCTACTTTTTTGTATTTTTAGTAGAGACGAGGTTTCGCCATGTTGGCCAGACTGGTCTCGAACTCCTGACCTTGTGATCTGCCCCCCTCAGCCTCCTAAAGTGCTGGGATTACAGGTGTGAGCCACTGTAACCGGCCCCATGAGCCTGCCTTCCCCAGATGGATTTTCTCTATCTTGGGCTCTACTGGGGTGTTGCAACCTCCTACCAGGTTCCCTAATCTTCAATAAATGCACTTTTGTACATAGATAGTTGCCAGATTGGTGTTTCTCTGGGTATGCACAAGGTCTGGGGACATACTATTAAGCCATCTTACATCACTCTCTGTTAATTCTTCTTTAAATGTTTAGTAAAATTCAGCAATGAAGCCATCTGGTAGTGGAATTTTTGTTGTTAGGTTGTTTTATATACTGATTTAATTTCTTTACTTTTTAAAGGTCTTTTTAGAATTTGTATTTATCCTTGAGCGAGATGTGGTTATTTGTGTGTTTTCAGAACTTTGTCAATTTTATCTAGGTTATCTAATTTGTTGGCATACAATTGTTTTTAGTTTACTCTTACAATTATTTATTTCTGTACATTTTGTAATAGTGTACTATATTTTATTTATAAATACTCTTTAAATATAAGGTAGGAAAAGAGAAGAGACTAGCACTTATGCCTACATGGAGTGTTTTGCATGAAATAGGTGTCTAATCATAGAAGCCATTTGACATTATTTGGATTTTAAATGGAGAAAAAATACTTGTTTACCCAACTCCCATCTTCTAAAGGATACTTCATTGCGAATGCATACATTATGTAGATATGGTCTCATTTGGTGAAAAAATGTGAATTAGAAAGGGAAAAATAAACTTGTGGGACTTTTTTCTTTACCTCTTATTCCTTGGATTGTTTTCAAATATCAGTATTGAATCTGAGTAATAAATAAACTTTTATAAATCTAAGAAATCATTATTACAATATATGGAAATTAGTGGCTTTTTGCCTTTTTAAAATGTATATTAACATTTAATATCTAAATATCAGAATACTCTGAGCAGTCGTGTGTGTATTTCATAGGCAAGTGACACTTAAATCTACATTTTATATATTTTTGTTTTAACTTTGAATCCTGTAGATGAAGAGGATAAGGATCAATTAAGTATACTTTTAAAAGACACAAATGAAAAATATCTAGGATACCACATAGACATGTATTGTGAAACCAAGAATACAATACTACTTCACCTCAGAAAGGATGGTTAGTTGTACAATCCAATAAAACTAAATGAAATATTATTTCAAATTTTGAAGAGGTATAACAACAATATTTTTGCTGCTCACCATATTGTTACACTCTTTTTCATAAATGGACATTCTTTTTCTTGTTCATAAGCATACATGGGTCAAGGTTACTTAGTGGGAGGTGGGGAGAATTCTGTAAGTTGTCTTTTCCGTTCCAAGTTTGTAGTGTTCTATTAAATTTAGCTGGCAAATATTCCATGATTATATTTGATGAAAGGTATATTAGTTTTGTTGACTTCTCCTCCAGTGGATCAATTTTCATTCTAGGATGACTAATCAATTTAATTTTGGGGGGAAAATTTGAACAGTTAAGTTTCTCTGAGCTCTTTACTATGTAGTAACAAATTATACCAGAAATATCTCCTCTAGTGAACCTACAGGATCACAGGAGAAAACATCCCTATATGCCGCACCTAACACTATGAATATATTTAAATCATCATATAATGAGGTTGACATGAACTTCGAGTAAATTTTTATCTATTGTTTAATAATTGCTCTTTGAAAATAGTATAGAACTCTATCATGTCATTTCTAGTTGCATCAAATGAATTATACCATTAAAATCTTAAGGTTACTTCTGGCTTCAGGTACAGCATGTAAAAAGTTTAAAGTCACTAATGCATTCTAATAAAAAGTTAAAAAAAAACTGAAAAAATTGAACAATAAACAACTCATAAGATTTGTACAAAAATGAGTCAAACTGCTCTCCCCAAAATAGAGATACAGACAGACAAATACAGGGAATCACAGCTTGCCAGAATAGGAACCCATAAGCAGGAACTTCCGTGGAAACCAGTGCCAGATAAAGAAATATGAACTGTAATTGACAAATTGATGGAGACATTGTGTATAAACCTGAAAGATAAAAGCTTTAATGGCACCCAGTTATACGTTCACCACCAAATGTTTTTGAGTGCTGCGTTCTCAGAGTAGATATCAAAGAAAATTCCCCTTGTGCTTCCAGCATGAGGAAGGGAAAATAAACCATTTTAAAAATAAATCATATAATTCAGTTATTCTTAATAAGGCCTGCCTTTAAGAGAAACTATTTAACCAATGCCTAAACTACTGGAAATTTATCAGAGCCTAACTGACTTATGGGAAGAGAAATACCCAACTTGAGCTTCTTCTAGCCTTTCACATGAGAGAAGACAAGTATCCAACTCCAGCTCACCTAGCCATCCAGTCCCACTTGAGGGGGAAAGACCAAGAAGCACTTTCAAAATTTACAGTCCAGAGGCACAGGCTTACTAAAAGACTGAGACCTAATTATAGAACTATAGAAGATTCTCCTTCCCATTACAACTTACAACCACATCCTTCATATAGAAATTTCTTTTATCCAGAACATCATATCCACCTATCAAGAAAAGTGTTACCAGGCACATTAAAGGCAAAAACCACAGTTTGAAAAGAAAGAGCAAACATCACAACCAGATGCACATGTGGCAAGGATGTTAGAATTATCACTGGGAATTCAAAGCAACTATGATTAATATGCCAAAAACTCTAATGGATAAAGTAAAAAGCACACAAGAACAGATAGGCAATATGAGCAGAGAGATGGAAATTATAATAAAATAACAAAAAGTAAAGATAGAGATAAAAATATATACCAGAAATAAAGAATGCCTTTCATGGGCTTACTAGTAAACTGGACATGGCTGAGAAGAGAATCAATGAGCTTGAGGATATCTCCATAGAAACATCCCAAACTGAAAAGCAAAGAGAATAAAGACTATAAAAAAGGAGAACAGAGTATTCAAGAGCTATGAGACAACTACAAAAGGTTTATCATTTGTGTAATGACAATACAAAAAGAATCAGGAAGAAAGAAAGGAACAGAAGAAATATTTGAAGCAGTCATGACTGAAAACTTCCATGTTAATGTGAAACACCAAAGATACAGAAAGCTTAAAGAACAGTAAGCAGAATGAATGCCCCAAAACTACACTTAGAAATATTATATTCAAAGTACAGAAAATAAAAAATCAAAAGAAATTTAAAAACAAAACATAAAAACACACTTTGCCTGTATGGGGACAAAAATCAGAATTATATATGATTTATATTCAGAAATCATGCAATAAAGAAGAAAGTGAAGTGAAAAATTTAACGTGTTGAGAGATAAAACCATAAACCTGGAGTTGTATACTCTGCAAAATTATTCTTCCAAAGTGAAGGAGAAATAACGACTTTTTTTCAGACAAATAGTAATTAATGGAATTTGTTGCCAGTATCATTGACTTGCCAGTAAAACTTTAAAAGAAGTTATTTGGAGAGAAGGGAAATTTTGTGGGACAGAAACTGAAATCTACATAAGAAAAGTAAAAGCATCAGAGAAAAAATAAGTGATGGAAAAATTAACATTTTTATTTTTTAATTCTTAATTGATTTAACAGGTAATAGTTCATTCAGAATAATAATAGCAACAATACGTTCAATTATGAATTCTTATATATGCTTATGTATAAGGAAAATAAAAGACTGCAATAACAAAAAGAACAGGAGGGAGAAATTAGTACTACTTTGTTATTAAAAGGTACTTGCACTTCCCATGAAGTGGTATAGTGTTATTTAAAAGTGGGTTTGGATCATGAATAAGCCCATGAAATGCATTCTTTATTTCTTTTTTATTTTTCTAGTCACTTATATTTCTTTTTTTAATAAATTTTATATGAACTTTATTACAACTTGTACTGACCATTGATTACGTTTAGACATTTTGCTTTGTCTTAAACTTTCTTTAAACAAAAACAGCTATTTTAGTTTAGAACAAAAACTAACCAGACATTTTTTAACACAAAATTATTGTTTTACATTCATTGAATTTATTGGTTTGTGTTTTTTTAAATATTTATTTATTTTTATTATATTTTAAGTTCTGGGATACATGTGCAGAATGTGCAGATTTGTTACCTAGGTACACACGTGCCATGGTGGTTTGCTGCACCCATCAACCTGTCATCTACGTTAGGTATTTCTCCTAATGCTATCCCTCCCCTAGCCTCCCACCCCCAACAGACCCCAGTGTGTGATGTTCCCCTTCCTGTGTCCATGTGTTCTCATTGTTCAACTCCCACTTATGAGTGAGAACATGCGGTGTTTGGTTTTCTGTTCTTGTGTTAGTTTGCTGAGAATTATGGTTTCCAGCTTCATCCATGTCCCTGCAAAGGACATGAACTCATTCTTTCTTTATGGCTGCATAGTATTCCATGGTGTATATGTCCCACATTTTCTTTATCCAGTCGATCATTGATGGGCATTTGGGTTGGTTCCAAATCTTTGCTATTGTAAATAGTACTGAAATAAACATACGTGTGCATGTGTCTTTATAGTAGAATAATTTATAATCCTTTGTGTATATACCCAGTTATGGGATTGCTGGGTCAAATGGTATTTCTGGTTCTAGATCCTTGAGGAATCACCACACTGTCTTTCACAATGGTTGAACTACTTTACACTCCCACCAACATTGTAAAAGCATTCTATTTCTCCACATCCTCTCCAGAATGTGTTGTTTCTGACATTACTGATCACCATTCTAACTGGTGTGAGAGGTTATCTCATTCTGGTTTTGATTTGCATTTCTCTAATGTCCAGTGATGATGAGCTTTCTTTCATATGTTTGTCGGCTGCATAAATGTCTTCCTTTGAGCAGTGTCTGTTCATATCCTTCACCCACTTTTTGATGGGGTTGTTTATTTTCTTCTTGTAAATTTGTTTAAGTTCTTCATAGCTTCTGGATATTAGCCCTTTGTCAGATGAATAGATTGCAAAAATTTTCTCCCATTCCGTAGGTTGCCTGTGCACTCTGATGATAGTATCTTTTGCTGTGCAAAAGCTCTTTAGTTTAATTAGATCCCATTTGTCAATTTTGGCTTTTGTTGCCATTGCTTTTGGTGTTTTCGTCATGACATCTTTGCCCATGCACATGTCCTGAATGGTACTGCCTAGATTTATTCTAGAGTTTTTATGGTTTTAGGTCTTACATGTAAGTCTTTTCTCCTTCTTGAGTTAATTTTTGTATAAAGTGTAAGGAATGGGTCCAGTTTGTTTTCTGCATATGGCCAGCCAGTTTTCCCAACACTATTAAATAGGGAATCCTTTCCCCATTGCTTGTTTGTGTCAGGTTTGTTGAAGATCAGATGGTTGTAGATGTGTGGCATTGTTTCTGAGGGCTCTGTTCTGTTCCCTTGGTCTATATATCTGTTTTCATATCAATACCATGCTGTTTTGGTTACTGTACCCTTGTAGTATAGTTTGAGGTCAGGTAGCGTGATGACTCCAACGTTGTTCTTTTTACTTTGGATTGTCTTGGATATACGGGCTCTTTTTGGGTTCCATATGAAATTTAAAGTAGTTTTCTCTAATTCTGTGAAGAAAGCCAATGGTAGCTTGATGGGGATAGCATTGAATTTATAAATTACTTTGGGAAGTATGGCCATTTTCATGACACTGATTCTTCCTATCCATGAGCATGGAATGTTTTTCCATTTGTTTGTGTCCTGTCTTATTTCCTTGAGCAGTGGTTTGTAGTTCTCCTTGAAGAGGTACTTCACGTCCCTTGTAAGTTGTATTCCTAGGTATTTTATTCTCTTTTTAGCAATTATGAATGGGAACTCACTCAGGATTTGGCTCTCCATTTCATTATTATTGGTGCATGGAATGCTTGTGAGTTTTGTACATTGATTTCGTATACTGAGAAATTGCTTAAGTTGCTTAGCAGCTTAAGGAGATTGTGGGCTGAGACAATGTAGTTTTCTAAATATACAATCATGTCATCTGCAAACAGACACAATTTGACTTCCTCTCTTCCTATTTGACTACCCTTTATTTCTTTCTCTTGCCTGATTGCCCCGGCCAGAACTTCCAATATTATGTTGAATAGGAGTGGTGAGAGAGGGAGTCCTTGTCTTGTGTCAGTTTTCAAAGGGAATGCTTCCAGCTTTTGCCCATTCAGTATGATATTGGCTGTGGGTCTGTCATAAATAGCTCTTACTATTTTGAGATACGTTCCATCAATACCTGGTTTATTGAGAGGTTTTAGCATGAAGGGGTGTTGAATTTCATCAAAGGCCTTTTCTGCATCTATTGAGATAATTATGTGGTTTTTGTCAATGGTTTTGTTTATGTGATGGGTTACATATATTTATATGTAAAAGGGCTAAATGCCCCAATTAAAAGGCACAGACTGGCAAATTGGATAAAGAGTCAAAACCCGTCAGTGTGCTGTATTCAGGAGACCCATCTCACAGCAACAACACACATAGGCTCAAAATAAAAAAGATGGAGGAAGATTTAATAAGCAAATGGTAAGCAAAAAAAAAAAAAAAAAAAAAAAAAAAAGCAGAGGTTGCAATCTTAGTCGCTGATAAAAGAGACACTAAACCAACAAAGATCAAAAAAGACAAAGAAGGGCATTACATAATATTAAAGGGATCAGTGCAACAAGGAGAGCTAACTATCCTAAATACATATAAACCCAATACAGGAGCACCCAGATTCATAAAACAAGTTCTCAGCAACCTACAAAGAGACTTAGACTCCCAAACAATAATAGCAGGAGACTTTAACACCCCACTGTCAATATTAGACAGATCAACCAGACAGAAAATTAAGAAAGATATTCAGGACTTGAACTCAGTTCTGGACCAAGTGGAAGTAATACACATCTACAGAACTCTCCACCCCAAATCAACAGAATATACATTCTTCTTAGCACCACATCACACTTATTCTAAAATTGATGACAAAATTGGAAGCAAAACACTCCTCAGTAAATGTAAAAGAACAGAAATCATAACAAACAGTCTCTCAGATCACATTACAATCAAATTAGAACTCAGGATTAAGAAACTAACTCAAAACCACACAACTAAATGGAAACTGAACAACTTTTTCCTGAATGCCTACTGGGTAAATAACAAAATTAAGGCAGAAATAAATAAGTTATTTGAAAACAATGTAATCAAAGACACAAAGTACCTGAATCTCTGGGACATAGCTAAAGCAGTGTTTAGAGAGAAATTTATAGCACTAAATGCCCACAGGAGAAAGCAGGGAAGATCTAAAATTGACACCCTAACATGACAATTAAAAAAACTAGAGAAGCAAGAGCAAACAAATTCCAAAGCTACCAGAAGACAAGAAATAACTAAGATCAGAGCAGAACTGAAGGAGATAGAGACATGAAAAACCCTTCCAAAAATCAGTGAATCCAGGAGCTGGTTTTTTGAAAAGATCAACAGAATTGATAGACTGCTAGCAAGACTAATAAAGAAGAAAAGAGAGAAGAATCAAATAGGTGCCATAAAAAATGAGAAAGGGGATATCACCACTGATCCCACAGAAATACAAACTACCATCAAAGAATACTGTAAACACCTCTATGCAAATAAACTGGAAAATCTAGAAGAAATGGTAAATTCCTGGACACATACACCCTCCCAAGACTAAACCAGGAAGAAGTCGAATCCCTGAATAGACCAATAACAAGTTCTGAAATTGAGGCAGTAATTAATAGCCTACCGCACCAAAACAGCCCAGGACCAGATAGATTCACAGCCAAATTCTACCAGAGGTTCAAAGAGGAGCTGGTATTATTCTTTTTGAAACTATTCCAAACAATAGAAAAATAGACTCCTCCCTAACTCATTTTATGAGGCCGGCATCATCCTGATACCAAAACCTGGCAGAGAAACAACGAAAAAAAGAAAATTGCAGGCCAACATCCCTGATGAACATTGATGTGAAAAACCTCAATAAAATGCTGGCAAAACGAATCCAGCAGTACATCAAAAAACTTATCCACCATGATCAATTCGGCTTCATCCCTGGGATGCAAGGCTGGTTCAACAGGCATTCTTTATATCAATGTATATTACAAACTATGCAGCAACCTCTAAAAATGTTTTAGAGTGTTTATAATATGCTAGCAAAGGAGAGAAAAGGAGATCATATGAAACAGTCAGTTAAAACTACAAAAGACAGAAGAGAGCAAGAAAAAAATAGGAAGAAAGTATAAGATTAACAAATAGGAAACAGTAACAAATACGGTAGGTACTAATTCAACTATATCAATAATCACTTTGAATATTGATGTTCTAATTGCACAAATGAATAAACAGACATTGTCAGAGTGAATAAAAAATCAGACCTAACTATATGTTATTTATAAGAAATCTAGCTTAAAGATAAAGACATGCATAGATTAAAAGTAAATGAAAGGAAAAACATTTACCATGCTAACACTAATCAAAAGCTGTATAAATTTTAAATAGCCCAGACTTCAGAGCAAATATTTTTATAAGGAATAAAAAATGACATTACATAATGATAAAGGGTCAATTCCTCAAGAAGACATAATCCTTAATGTGTATGTGCCTGACAACAGAGCATCAAAATATATTGGGCAAAAACTAATACAACTGCAAGAAGAAATAGATGAATCCTCCAACATAGTTGAATTCTACAACTCCCATTATCAGAATTGGGCAGATTCAGCAGGCAGAAAATTACTAAAGACATAATAGAACTCAACAAAACCACTAATCAACTGGATATAACAGCTATCTATAGACTACATTATCCAACAACAGCAGATTACATACTCTTCTCCACCTCACATGGTACATTCCCTAAGCTAGGTAGCACACTGGGTCATAAAAGCACCTCCACAAAATTTTAAAAAGAGAAATCATACAGTGTCTCCTCTCAGATTACATTATAATTAAATTAAAATATAATTTTAAAAAGCTAGAAAATCAATTATTTGGAGATTAAAAGATACACTTTTATGTTGTCACAAAGGACAAGATTTTATTCTTTTTAAATAGCTGAACAGTATTCTGTAGTGTATATATATATCAAATTTTCTGTATTAAACATTATGTTAAATGAAATAAGCCAGACACTGATAAAAAATGCCACATATTCTCTCTCATATGCAAATCTAAAAAATCTGACCTCATAAAAGAAATAAAACAGAGGCTCCTAAAGGCTGCAGATCATAGAGAAGAGAATAGATGAGCAGAGGATGGTCAACAGGTACAAAGTTACAATTAGAAAGGAAGAATAAATTATGGTGTCCTATTGTACAGTAGAGTGACTATATTGTAGTTAACAATAAACAATGTATGTATCAAAATTGCTAGAAGAGAATATTTTGAAAGTTTCTACCACAAGGAAATGCTACATGTTTGACATAATAAATATAATTACTCTGATTTAATTACTACACAATATATGCAGGTATTAATATATTACATATTATGAAATGTACATACAATTATTGTGTCGATTATTTTAAAATTTAATTTTTAAAATACACACTTCTAAATAACACATGGATAAAAAATAAATCTCAAGATAAATTTTAAAATACTTTGAGCTAAATGAAAATAAAATATAAAATCATCATTTGCAGGATGTGCAAAAGCAGTGCTTAGATAAAAATGTACAGCATTAAATGTACATATCAGTATTGAAGAAAGATCCAAAGTCAACCTAAGCTTCCACCTTAAGAAATTTGAAAATGAAGAACAAATTAAGTCCACAGTAAACAGAAGAAAATAAATAATAGAAATTCAAATATAAATTAATAAAATTGAAAAGAGAAAATAAATGAAACCAAAACCTATTTTGTTGTGGGAAGTCAGGGACCCTGAATGGAGGGACCAGCTGGAGCCACGGCAGAGGAACATAAATTATGAAGATTTCATGGACATTTACCAGTTCCCAAATAATACTTTCATAATTTCTTATGCCTGTCTTACTTTAATCTCTTAATCCTGTTATCTCCGTAAGCTGAGCATGTACATCACCTCAGGACTCTGTGATAATTGTGTTAACTGTACAAATTGATTGTAAAACATGTGTGCTTGAACAATATGAAATCATTGCACCTTGAAAAAGAACAGAATAACAGCGATTTTAGGGAACAAGGGAAGACAACCATAAGGTCTGACTGCCTACGGGGTCGGGCAAAAAGAGCCATATTTTTCTTCTTGCAGAGAGCCTATAAATGGACGCGCAAGCAGGGAAGGTATCGCTAAATTCTTTTCCTAGCAAGGAATATTGATATTAATACTCTGGGAAAAGAATTGCATTCCTGGGGGGAGGTCTATCAACAGCCACTGTGGGAGTGTCTGTCTCATGTGGTTGAGATAAGGATTGAAATAAGTCCTGGTCTCCTGCAGTATCCTCAGGCTTACCAGGGTGGGGAAAAATCCCACCCTGGTAAATCTGAGGTCAGACCAGTTCTCTGCTTTCAAACCCTGTTTTCTGTTGTTTAAGATGTTTATCAAGACAATTTGTGCACAGCTGAACATAGACCCTTATCAGTAGTTCTGTTTTGCCTTATGTCCTGTTTCCTTAGAAGCATGTGATCTTTGTTCTCCTTTTTGCCCTTTGAAGCATGCAATCTTGTGACCTACTCCCTGTTCTTGCACCCCCTTCCCTTTTGAAATCCTTAATAAAACTTGCTGGTTTTGCAGCTCAGGTGGGCATCACAGTCCTACTGATATGTGATGTCACCCCCGGAGGCTCAGCTGTAAAATTCCTCTCTTTGTACTCTTTGTCTTTATTTCTCAGCCTGCCGACACTTATGGAAAATAGAAAGAACCTACATTG
Organism: Homo sapiens; assembly: GCF_000001405.40. NCBI lineage: Eukaryota > Metazoa > Chordata > Mammalia > Primates > Hominidae > Homo > Homo sapiens. The sequence goes on from NC_000023.11 coordinate 83,783,369, forward strand.
AAATATTGGGGGCGGGTTCCCCCATACTAATTCTGTAAAAAAAAATCAATAAAATCAATAAGCCTCCATTCAGACTAATTTCTTTTTTAAAAGCAGTGAGATGACACATATTAATAATATTAGGAATAAAAGAGGGGATATCACTACATATCTCATGAAGATTAAAAGCATAGTAAAAGAACACTATGAACAATTCTATGCCCACAAATTTGATTATATACATAAAATGAACTAATTCTGGAGAGACATAATCTTGTAAAACTCACACAAGAAGAAAGAGATGATCTAAATAAACTTATATCTATGGAAGAAATGAAATAAAAAACTTTTTAATATAGAAAGTACAAAGGCTCAAATGGGTTCACTCATGAATTCTACCAAAAATTTAAGAAAAAAAAATTATACCAATTTCTTATAATCTTTTTCAAAAGACAGAAGCAAAGGGAATGTTTTCTAACTCATTCTATGAGGCCAGCATTACACTAAAACCAAAACCAGACAAATAAATTAAAAGAAAACCACAGACCAATATCACTCATGAATACAGATGCAAAAATCCTCAACCAAATATTAGCGTATCAAGTTATTAAATATAATGAAAGATTTATACACAAAAACTAAGTTGTATTTATCTTTGGTGTGCAATGCTGGTTTGACAGTAAAAAATTTAACTAATGTAATCCACTACATTGAGAGAATAAAGAAAAAGAAAAATGACTATATCAATAAATGTAAGAAATGCATTTGACAAAATTAAACACGGATTCATAGTGAAAATGCTCAGTAATGTAGGCACAGAATTAAACTTCCTCAATTTGATAAAGAATTTACAAAAACCCCACAGCTAAGACTGTACTTAATGGTGAGAAACTCAAAGCTTTCCCATGAATATCAGATATAGACAAGGATGTCCCCTTTTACCATTGCTTTTTAATATCATACTGAAATTTCCAGCTTCTGCAATAAGACAAGAAAAGGAAATACAAGGTATACAGAGTGGAAGTGAAAAATAAAATTGTGTTTGTTCATAGATGACATGATTATCTATATATTAATAAATATCTGAAACAACAAAAACCTCCTGGAACTACTAAGCTATTATAGCAAGGTTGCAGGATACAAGATTAATATAAAAATATCACTTTCCTATATACTAAAAATAGACTAGTGAAATTTACAATTAAAAACACAATACTATTTACCTTGGCATTCAAAATAATTATTAGGTATCAATCCAACAAAATACATACAAGGTTTATATAAAAAATGAAAAAACTGTGATAAAAGAAATTTCAAAAAGCTTAAATTACTGGAAAAATATTTCATGTTTATGGATAGAAAGCCTCAATAGTGTCAAGATGTCAGTTCTTCCAAAGTTGATCTACAAATTTAACACACCTTTTATGTAAACCACAGCAAGTTATTTTTTGAATGTCAACAAATGGATTCAACGGTTTATGTGTGGAAACAAAAGACCCAGAATAACCTACACAATATTAAAGGAGAAGAACAAATTTGGATAAATAACACTGCCTGACTTCAAAACTGACTATAAAGCTACAGTAATCAAGAAAGTGAGATATTGGCAAAGAATAGCCAGATAGATTAATGGAACAGAATAGAGAGCTCATAAAGAGACATAATCTATTTAACATTGTTATAAACATAGTCAACCGATGTGTAAGAAAGAATAAAAACAGTACAATGGAGAAAAGATGGCATTTTCAATAAATGGTGCTGTAACAACAAGACATCCACATAGTTAAAAAAAACTCTAGACACAGACCTACAGACCTTATATGTTTTACAAAAATTAACTAAAAATTGATAACCAATTAATATAAAAATAAATCTATAAAATCTTAAGAAAATAATGTAGAAGAAGGTCTAAATGTCCTTGATTTGGTGAAGAATTTATTGATACAATAGCAAAGGCACAATCTGTAGAAGAAAGAATTGATAATCTGAACTTTATGCAAGAGAATAAAATGACAAGCCACAGACTGGGACAAAACAATTGCAAAAGACATATAAAGAACTGTTATCTGAAATACACAGAAACACTTAAAGCACAAAAATAAGAAAACATATAACCTAACTTAAAAGTGAGCCAGGAACCTTAACAGACACCTTACTAAAGAAAATATACAGTAAAAAATAAACATATACAAATGTGTTCCACATTATGTGTCATCAGGGGAATTCAAATTAAAACAATGAGATACCACTCCACACATATTAGAACAACCAAAATTCAGATACTGACAACACCAAATGCTGGCTAGGAGTGTGAAATATAGACACTCTCGTTCACTGCAGGTGGGAATAAAAAATGGTACAGCTACAGTGGAATATAGGTGGAGTCTTCATTAGAAAACTAGATATGTTCTTACCATACAATTCACCCATCATTCTCCTTGATATTTACCTAGAGGAACTGAATATTAATGTCCTCACAAAAACCTACACATGAGTGATTACAGCAAAATTATAAAAATTTTGAGGCAACTATGAGATGTGTATATATATGTATATCACTGAGACTACCACCAGCAATACCTCCTAACACAAATAGCAGTATGATACAGTTCCCAGAGATCCAGAGAACTGAAAAGCTCTGAGATGACAATAAAATAATTGGATTTACGTATTAATTATGCCCATACCCCTCCTCTGCCCAACACAAAGAATTTAAAAAGTATCTCCCAACTCACATTTGAGAACAAGGATCAAGGTTAACAATAAGCTTCCCCACCATCTTGGGTTCTCTAGCAAGAAGATATCTGTCACTGCCTCAACTCAAGGGAAGCACTGTAAGCACCTAAGAGAAGAAATATTCCTGAGGACAGCCAGAGACAAAGGGGGAAGGCAGGACTACCAGCTCTGAAAATTCTGCCCTGTAACTTGGCCAAAATAAGTGACAAATCCGAGTAGCTGTTCAGTAGTACAAGGCTGTATGAGGCATGTTCCACTTGGGCATGAACACCTAGCCAGCCTTTCCAAACTAATGATATATCCACTTTGGGGCCTCCTCATTAAGAAAGGGCAGGGTTCTTATCATTTACTATAGCCAAGGCAAACCTTGGCTTAAGGTGCCATCTAATGCTGAAAAGGAGGTAGCAACCTAGTAGAAAGAAAAAAAAAGTCCACAGCTAAATTTCAAACAATTTCTAAGCAAACATATTTAATATAAACCAAAACAAGAAGGACAGAGAAGACTACAATAAATAATTAATTCCTTAATGCGGAAGCATAGATAGACATCCACAAGAAACAACAGCAAACAGGGAACTATAATCTCCCCACAACAAAGAAAGTAAGGAACCAGTGACTTACCCTTTTTTTTAAAAAAATGTGAGTTTTCTAAATAATTTAAAATAGCAGTTTAAAAAAACCCAGTGATCTACAAGATAACACGGAAATGCAATTCAGAAAGTCATCAGAGAAATTCAACAGAGATTGAAATAAAAGTAAAAATCAAATAGAAAACTTTTAACTGAAATATACATTTCTGAACTAAAAAAAACAATTACAAGCTGTCAATAGTAAAATAGGTAAATCAGAAGAAAGAATCAGTGACCTCAAAAAATATTTAAAACTACTCAGTACCTGAAAAAAATGTAAAATGAAAGAAAGAATGAAAATAAACAAAGATTGCCTATAAATATAGAAAATTATTTGAAAACACTAAATCAAAAATTTATTGGTGTTCAGCAAGAAGTTGAGCCAGAACAAGGGGTAGAAATTGTATTAAAAAATAATAACAGAAAATGATTCAAAACCTGAGAAAGATATAAATATCCAGTTAACACCAAAAAGAAAACACCAAAAAGATTCAACCCAAATAAGACTACACCAAGGCATATAATAATCAGACTCTCAAAGGTCAAGAACAAAGAGAGAATTCTAAAAGCAACAAGACGATAGAAGCAAATAATATATAAAGGAGCTCCAATTCTTCTTTAACATACTTCACAGTGAAAACTTACACTGGCCAGGAGTGAGTGAGATAAAATTTTCAAAGTGCTCAAAAAAAAAAAAAAAAAAAAGCTGTCATCCAAAAATACTGTGTCTAGAAAAGTAGTCTTTCAAATAGGAAGAGATAAAATCTTTCTCAGACAAACAAAAGCTAAGAGAATTCACCTAAACCAGACCTATCATGTAAGAAATTATAAAGGCAGATTTTCAATCTGAAAGAAAATTAACACTAATATTTAAAAAATGAAGGTATAAAACCTATTGATAAAATTAAGTACAAAGACAAACCAAGAATACTCTAATACTGCAATTGTGGTACACAATTTACTCATATTTCAATTATGAAGTCTAAATCTACCAAAAGCAATAATAGATACAGAAATCTAATATAATTTTGGCCATTATAAAATTATGAAAATGGACACAACGAAAAGTAAAAACCGGAGGGAGGTATTATTAAAGTATAAAGGGTTTTTGGCTTTTTTTCATTTCAATTTTGTCTTTGTGATCTAAAATCAGTTTTCATCTCTTCAAAATAACCTGGTAGATCCACAAGATGATTTTGTAAGCCTGGTGATAATCACAATGCAAAGACCTACAATAGATACACAAAATAAGAAAGCAATGACTCAAAACGTATCAGAGAAACTGACTTAATCACAAAGATAAACAGTAAGAAATGAAGAAAGAAATAACAAAAAATCAGTATAAGAAGCAATGAAATGAAAGTAGTAAGATTGTAAGTAAGTAAGTGGATTCCACCCCCACGGAGTCCAGCAAGCTGGAAGCATTCCCTTTGAAAACCAGCACAAGAAAAGGATGCCCTCCTTCACTACTCCTATTAAACATAGTATTGGAAGTTTTGGCCAGGGAAATCACGAAAGAGAAAGATATAAAGGGCATTCAAATAGGAAGAGGGGAAGTCAAAGTATCTCTGTTTGCAGATGACATGATTGTATATATAGAAAACCCCATCGTCTCAGTCCAAAAACTCCTTAAACTGATAAGCAACTTTGGCAAAGTCTGAGTATACAAAATTAATGTGCAAAACTCACAAGCATTCCTGTACACAAATAACAGACAGAGAGCCAAATCATGAGTGAGCTCCCATTCGCAACTGCTACAAACAGAATAAAATACGTAGGAATACAACTTACAAGGGATGTGAAGGACCTCTTCAAGAAGAACTACAAACCACTGCTCAAGGAAATAAGAGAGGACACAAACAAATGGAAAAATAATCCATGCTCATGGATAGGAAGAATAAATATGGTGAAAATGGCCGTACTTCCCAAAGTAATTTAGAGATTCAGTGCTATCCCCATCAAGCTACCATTGTCTTTCTTCACAGAATTAGAAAAAAAAGCTACTTTAAATTTCATATGGAGACAAAAAAGAGCCCGTATATCCAAGACAATCCTAAGCAAAAAAACAAAACTGGAGGCATGACACTATCTGACTTCAAACTATACTACAAGGCTACAGTTACCAAAACAGCATGGTACTGGTAGCAAAACTGATATATAGAACAATGGAACAGAACAGAGACCTCAGAAATAACACCACACATCTACAACCATCTGATCTTTGACCAACCTGACAAAAACAAGAAATGGGGAAAGGATTCCCTATTTAATACATGGTGTTGGGGAAACTGGCTAGCCATATACAGAAAACTGAAACTGGACCCCTTCCTTACACCTTAGATAAAAATTAACTCAAGGTGGATTAAAGATTTAAATGTAAGACCTAAAACCATAAAAACACTAGGAGAAAACATAGGCAATAGCATTCAGGACATAAGTATGGGCAAAGACTTCATGACTAAAACACCAAAAGCAACTGCAATAACAGCTAAAATTGACAAATGGGATCTAATCAAACTAAAGAGCTTCTGCACAGCAAAAGAAACTATCATCAGAGTGAACAGGCAAGGTACAGAGTGGGAGAAAATTTTTGCAATCTATCCAACTAACAAAGGGCTAATATCAAGAATCTACAAAGAACTTAAACAAATTTACAAGAAAAAAACAAACAGCCCCATCAAAATGGGGCAAAGGATATGAACAGGCCTTTTCAAAAGAAGACATTTATGTGGCCAACAAACATATGAAAAAAAGCTCTTCATCACTGGACATTAGAGAAATGCAAATCAAAATCACAATGAGATACCATCTTATGCCCATTAGAATGGCGATTATTAAAAGTCAGGAAACAACATATTCTGGAGAGGATGTGGAGAAATAGGAACACTTTTACACTGTTGGTGGGAGTGTAAATTAGTTCAACCATTGCAGAAGATAGTGTGGTGATTCCTCAAGGATCTAGAACCAGAAATACGATTTGACCCAGCAATCCCATTACTGGGTATATACCCAAACGATTATAAATCATTCTACTATAAAGACACATGCACACATATGTCTATTGCAGCACTATTTACAATAGCAAAGACTTGGAACCAACCCAAATGCCCATCAATGATAGACTGGGTAAAGAAATTTTGGCACATATACACCATAGAATACTATGCAGCCATAAAAAAGAATGAGTTCATGTCCTTTACAGGGACATAGATGAATCAGGAAACCATCATTCTCAGCAAACTGACACAAGAACAGAAAACCAAACACCTCACTTTCTCACTCATGACTGGGAGTTGAACAATGAGAACATATGGGCACAGGGAGGGGAACATCGCACACCGGGGCCTGTTAGGGTGTGGGGCGCAAGGGGAGGGATAGCATTAGGAGAAATACCTAGTGTAGATGCAGGTTGATGGCTGCAGCAATCCACCATGACACATGTATACCTAAGTAACAAACCTGCATTTTCTGCACATGTATCCCAGAATTAAAATACAATAAAAAATTAATAAAAAGACAAAGAATTTCACTTTGTCAATTTCACAATAGGATATAAAAATTATAAATATGTAAATAACTATGCACCCAACACAGGAGCATCCAATTGTATGAAGCACATTTTTATAAATCTAAACAGCAATACAATTATAGTAGAGGACTTCAACACCCCACTTTCAGAAATGGGCAGATAATCCACAAAGAAAGTCAACAGAGAAACATCAGTGTTTCTACGCCGCACTATACTAAATAGTCCTAACTTACATTTACAGAATTTTTCACTCAACTTCTGCAAAAAAACATATTTTTAATCTGCCTATATAACATTTTCCAGAATAGACTGTATCTCAGGTCACGAAACAAGTATGAACAAATTCACAAAAGTGGAAATCATATCAAGTATATTTTTGACCAAGAAGGAATAAAACTAGTAGTCAATAACAAAAGGAATCTCAGAAACAACACAAACACATGAAAATTAATCAACATAATCCTAAATGACAAATGAATCAATGAAGAAATTAAGAAGAAAACTTAAAAAATTTATAAAACACACGAAATGAAAATATAACATATCAAAATTATAGGATACAGCAAAAACAATACTAAAAGAGAAATATATAAATAAACATCTATATAAAGAAAGTAGAAAGACTTAAAGCAACCTAAAAATACACCTTAAGGAAGAAGATAAGTGAGAACAAACCAAAAACAAAATTAGCAGAAGAAAATAAATAATAAAAACCAGAGTAGAAATAAATAAAATTGAGATAAAACAATACTACAAAAGATTAATAAAATGAAAACTTTACTTTTTGAAAAGATAAAGTTGACAAATCTTTACCTAGAATAACTGAAAAAAAAAGAAGACTCAAATAAATAAAATCAAAAACAAAAAAAGAGACAGAGCAAGTGACAGTGCAGAAATGCAAAGAACCACTAGAGACTACTATGGACAACTATACACCAAGAAATTCAAAAACATAGAAGAAATGGGTGATTTTCTAAACACGTACAACCTACCAAGATTAAACCTTAAAAAATGAAAAACCTCAATAAACCAAAAACAATTAATGAGATCATAGCTATAATAAAAAGTCTCCCAACAAAGAAGAATTGATGGCTTCACTACTGAACTCTACCAAACTTAAAACACAAAAACGAATGCTGATTCTACTCACATTGCTACAGAGAACAACATTAAGGTAATACTTCTAAGCTCTTTTTATGAGACCAACATTACCGTAATAACGAAGCCAAACAAAGATGTCGCAATTAAAGGAAGCTACAGACAAATATCTTTAATGTACATAGATTCACAAATTTTTAACAAAATACTAGCAAACAAAATTCAACAACACATTAAAAAGGTCATTTACCATAATTAAGTGGGATTAAACCCAGGGATCCCAGGATGGTTCAATATACACAAATTAATAAACATGATACACCACATTAAGAAACCAAGGGAAAAAAAAGTGATGATTTTAATAGATGCAAAAAAAAGCATTCCATAAAATTCAACACCCTTTATGATAAAATTTCTGAATAAACTGGGTATAGAAGGAACATTCCTCAAAGTAATGAAGGCTATATATGACAAATCTATGACTAACATCATAATGAATGAGGAAAATTTGATAGGCTTTTCTCTAAGATGTGGAACAAGATAAAGATGCACACTTTCACCATTTTTATTCTGCATAACACTGGAAATTCTAGCTAGAGCAATTAGGTAGGAGAAAGAAATAAAAGGTATTCAAATTGGAAAGGAAGAAGTCAAATTACTCTTGTTCACAGATGACATGATCTTATATTTAGAAAAAAATAAATCTCTGGCCAGGCACAGTGGCTCACGTCTGTAATCCCAGCACTTTGGGAGGTTGGGGTGGGCAGATCACGAGGTCAAGAGATTGAGACTATCCTGGCCAACATGGTGAAACCCTGTCTCTACTAAAAATACAAAAATTAGCTGGGTGTGGTGATGCACACCTGTAGTCCCAGCTACTCAGGAGGCTGTGCAGGAGAGTCGCTTGAACCCTGGAGCTGAAGGTTGCAGTGAGCCATGATCCACCACTGCACTCCAGCCTGGCAACAGAGCGAGACTCCAAAAACTCCATCAAAAATTATTATATTTAATGAATGATTTTAGTAAAGTTGCAGAATACAAAATCAACATCAGCAGCACTTACATACATGAACAGTGAACAATCTAAAAAGAAATCAATAAAGCAGTCTTACAATAGATACAGAGAATAAGAAATACCTAAAAAGTCATTTAACCAAAGTGAAAGATCTGTACAAGAATAATGATAAAACACTGATGAAAGTAATTGAAGAGAGCACACACACAAATGAAACATAGTCCATGCTCATAGTTGAAAAAAAATGTATATTGTTAAAATGTCATTTAAAACTCAAGGCAATTTATAGACTTGATGCAATCCTTATCAAAGGATAAATGACATTCTTTAAAGATATAGAAAAAAATTACAAAATTTACATGGAACCACAAAAGACTTTGAACAGACTAAACAATCCTGAGCAAAAATAACAAAGCTGGAGGCATTATACTATCTGGCTTCAAAACATACCACAAATCTATAGTAATCAACTCAGCATGGTACTGGCATAAAATCAGACTCATTGACCAACGAAACAAAGCAGCAAACCAAGACAAAAATCCATGCATTTACAGCCAACTCACTTTTTTTTCAAAGCATGAAGAACATACAATGGGGAAAGGACAATGTCGTTATAAATGGTGCTGAGAAAACATGATAACCATATGCAGAATAAGATAGAAACCTATCTCTCATCACTTACAAAAAAATTAAATAAAAATGAATTAAAGACTTAAATGTAACACCTCAAACTATGAAACTACTAAAAGAAACATTGGCAAAATGTTCCTGGACATTGGTGCAGGCAAATATATTTTTGTGTGTAAAACCTCAAAAGTACAGGCAATCAAAGTAAAAATATGTATAGGATTACATCAGGCTAAAGAGCTTCTGCACAGCAAAGGAAACAATCAACAAAGTGAAGAGACAATCCACAGAATGGGAGAAAATATTTGCAATCTATTAATATGACAAGGGATTAATACTCAAAATATAGAAGGAACTCAAACCACTCAGTAGCAAAAATCTGATTTTAAAATGGGAAAATATCTAAATAGACATTTCTTAAAAGATGACATACAAATGACTATCAGGTATATAAAAATGCTCAACATCACTAACATTAGAGTAATGCAAATCAAAGCACAATGAGATATTTTCTTACCCCAGTTAAAAATGTTAGGAAGGATATGAAGAAAAGGGAGCTCTCATAAACTGTTGCTGGGAATGTAAATTATTATAGCCACTAAGAAAAACCGTATTGGGGCTCATCAAAAAGCTACAAATGGAACTCCCACATGGTACGTCAATTCCACTACTGGGTATATATCCAAAAGTAAGAAAATAAATATCTCAAAGAGATATATGGATTTTCACATGTATTGCAGCACTATTAATAATAGCTATAATATGGAAGCAACCTAAGTTCCCATAAATGGATAAATATATTAAAATGTCATATATATATATATATATGTATACACACACGTGAAAATATTAGTCATCCATACAAAATAATTAAATTCTGAACATCAGTAAGATGGCATACTAGAGATGCCAGGCACTCATCTCTGCACCTTCCACTCCACACCAGAAAGGACTAGGGCACTGATTAAACAGCTAAGATTTTACTAGAATGTTAAATGGAATGCATTGCAGTGCAGCTAGAGTGGAAAGGGTCCTGTGCTAATTGGAAGGTCAGGAGGGGAGCATAAAGGCACCTGGTCTATGCAGCTCTGTCACTCCAACCTGGATCAGATCAGCCCAGCAACAGGTGGGACTTCCACTTATGGAGAGAAACTAAGCGGTATAACTGAACCAGCCCTCACTGCCACTGCAAATGTCTACAGTCCTTGCAATAAGAGAATCACACAGTCCTCACAAGTCCAGAGCATCGTAAGGAGAACTGCCAGTAATTCACACATTTGCATGGTTCCAGAATAGGAGCACAAGTTATGCATTCCCCATCCCCTACCCAGCCACTGTGAGCCAAGCTGCTGCACCATAGCAAAATCTTGAGACTAGAGCCACCTCTGAAGTATACCTTCACCTCTCCAGCACTGGGGCTCCATGTTCATTCATTCTATCAAGGCCACATGGATGGCTAAGCATCACAAATCAGCTTTGCAGAGCCTGAGCCTAGGGTTAACTTTGACTCCGGCACTTTCCAGCAAGGATACCCACCCCTGACACCTGCCATTTTAAGTCAGAGGAACAGTCTGGTTGTCATTTGCAGAGTGAACTCACCCTTGAGCCAACCAAACCACTGCATACCCTCCCACATGCGAGAGAGACCCTTGAGCCACCAAGCAGATAAAATGCTTGCAGGCCAGGAGAGTGTATATGTGCCTGTGCTTAGGGCAAGATAAATAGCCCTATGGTACCCACTCCACACCCTTTGCATATTCCCATGGCCTGCCCAAAGGCTCACACATGCAATTAGGGCTTAAGAAACAGCCACCTTTGGCTGTCACGACTCCAGGCCAAGCAAAGAGCTATGCACTATGTTCCAGGCTTGAGAAAGGTCATATAAACCACCAGTGGCACACAAACCCAGGCCAGCTGAGAAGATGTGTGCCCATCTCCCAGACCTGAGTACAAACTCTTTGGGTTACCTCGAGCTCACACAACCCCAGGCCAGGTGACAAGCCTTGTGCCCATGTCCCAGGCCTGAGAAAGTTTCACAGGCTTTTCCTGGAAGACATACTCCCAACCCAGCTGAGCAGTTGTGTGCCTGCATCCTGGGCCTGATAAAAAGCTCCATGGGCTGCCCCTGGCAAGTATGCCCCAAGGCAGGCCAAGCAACTGTGCACCTATGCCCAAGCCAGAGTAACAACCCCTTGGCTCCAACCCCAGCAAGCCAGACCCCAAATTGGTTGATCCATGTTCATGCATGCACTCCTGACCAGAGAAACAGCCTGGTGAGCCCACCCACAAAATATCTGCACCATCACTGCCACACCTCTATCAGTGTAGGCCACTGAGACACACACAAATGTCACTAGCATGGATGAGGGCTAAAGAATGTACATAAATATTTCACTGTTGCACTAACCTAGAATGAAGCCAATGCACCCCACTATACCAAGACCCCCCAAACTCATCAAATAATAAATCTTTCCCTACAAAACCTTTTTCATAAAATTGGAAGAGCCAACTGTTTCATCAGATGCATAAAAATCAACATAAGGAAATAACAAACACAAAAAAGCAAGGAAGCATGAAGCCTTCTACATAACACAATAATTATTCAAAAACAGACACCAATCAAAAAAATACACAAAATTTAAGAAAAAATCAAAATACTAATCTTAAGCAAAATCAGTATGGTGCAAGAAAATAAGGAGAGGTGATTTAATGAAATCAGAAAAGTACTTATGATTCAAATAAAACAATTCAACAAAGAAATAGATATCATAAAAAAGAACCAAACAGAAATTCTACAGCTGAAGAGCTCAATGAATTAAAAAAAAAAAAAACCACAATCAAGAGTTTCAAGAACAGACTAGATAAAGTTTAAAAAGTATCTCTGAGTTTGAAGACAGGTATTTTGAAATCACACAGGCAGACAAAAAAGAATAAAGAATAAAAAAGAGACCAGGTGTGGTGGCTCATCCCTGTAATCCCAGCATTTTGGGAGGCTGAGGCAAGCTGATCACCTGAGGTCAGGAGTTGGAGACCAGCCTGGCCAACATGGTGAAACCCCATCTCTACTAAAAATAGAAAAATTAGCCGGGAATGATGGTGCATACCTGTAGTCCAGCTACTCAGGAGGCTGAGGCAGGAGAATCGCTTAAACCTGGGAGGCAGAGGTTGCAGTGAGCCAAGATTGTGCCACTGCATTCCCGCCTGAGGCTCCATCTCAAAGAAATAAAAATAAAAAATAAAAAATAATGAAGAAAGCCTACAGGATTTATGGGACATCATCAAGCAAAGAAATATCTACAAGATACGTATTCCAGAAAAAGAAAAGAAGAAAGAAAAAAAGATGTATAAAACATACTTGATGAAATAATAGCTAAAATCTTTTCAAGTCTTCATTGAGAAATGGACATCCAGATCCAGGAAGCTCAAAGAATAACAAATAGACTCCAAATAAATCTTTTCTGAGGCATGTTAGAATCAGTGTCACAAGTCAAAGAAATAAGAAAAATTATAAAAACATCAGGAATGAGAAGTGACATCAAATGTAAGGGAATCCTCATCAGACTAATAGCAGGTTTCTCAGCAGAAATCTTACAGACCCAGAAAGAATGGGATGATATATTCAAGCCACTGAATGAATAAAAATTCTAGCCAAGAATATTATATCCAGCTAACCTAGCCTTCATAAATGGAAAAGAAATAAAATCTTTCACAGACAAGCAAAAACTAAGGGAATTCATCACCACCAGACTGGCCTTACAAGAAATGTTCAAAAGAGTCTTACATCTCAAAGTGAAAAGATGATAACAACCATCATGAAAACACATGAATCTATGAAACTCACTGGAAGTTATAAAATACACAAAGGAGAAAGAGAATCAGATATTATCATTACATAAAAACACCCAATCACAAAATTAAACTATAAAGAGGAAGTTCAGATAAAAAAGATATACAAAACAATGAGAAAACAATCAAAATGACAGTAGTAAGTTCTCACCTAACAATAATAACCTTTAATGTAAGGCTGGGCACAGTGGCTCACGCCTGTAATCCCAGCACTTTGGGAGACCAAGGCAGGTGAATCACTTGATGTCAGGAGTTCGAGACCAGCCTGGCCTACATGGTGAAACCCCATCTCTACTGGAAATACAAAAATTATCTGGGCGTGGTGGCAGGCACCTGTAATCCCAGCTACTCAGGAGGCCAAGGCAGGAGAATCGCTTGAACCCGGGAGGCAGAGGTTGCAGTGAGCCAAGACCGCACCATTGCACTCCAGCCTGGGCAATAAGAGTGAAACTCCATCTCAAAAAAATAATAATAACCTTTAATGTAAGCAAATTAAATTTCTCTTTTAAAAGACAAACTTGCTAAATGAATAAAAATTGTGACCCAACTATATGCTACCTACAAGAAATTCACCCTGTATGGAAGGAAACAGACTGAAAGTGAACGGATGGAAAAAATACTCCATGTAAATGGAAACCAAAAGAAAGCAAGAGTAGCTATATTTATATCAGACAAAACAGACTTTAAGTAAAAAGGTGTCAAAAGGGATCACAAAGGACACTATATGGTAATAAAGGTATCAATTCAGCAAGAGAATATAACAGTTTTATATATATATGCACCCAACATGGGGGCACTCAGATATGTAAAGCAAGTGATATATACTGAGAGAGATAAACCCCAATACAATGATAGTGGGGACATCAACCTCACCTGTGTACTAGTATAGATCATCTGCACAGAAAATCAACAAACATTAGACTAAAACTGCCTCACAGAAAAAAAAAGTGTACCTAACAGACTTATACAGAACATTTCAACAAACAGCTGCAGAACACACATTCTTTCCATCAACACATTGAATAGTCTCCAGCACTCAACATGTATTAACACAAAAAAACTCAGAAACTTTTTAAAATTGAAATTGTGTCAAGTGGCTTATCTGACCACAGTGGAAGAAAACTAGAAATACAAAACAAGAGTATTTGAAACTATACAAATACATGGAAATTAGACAACATGTTTGTGAACATCCAATGGGTCAATGAACAAGTTAAAAATGAAATTTTAAAATATCCTTGAAACAAATGAAAATAAAAAAAGTAAGAAAACCTGTGGAACAGAGCAACAGCAATATTAAGAGGTAAGTTTATAGCAATAAATGCCTACATCAAAAACTAAAAGATTTCAAATAAACAACTTTATGGTGCATTTTAAGGAACTATAAAAGCAAAAGCTTTTATATACTAACCCAAAATTAGTAGAAAAAATAAATAATAAAGATCAGGGCTAAAATAAACAAAATTGCTACAAAAAGTATAAAATATTAGCAAGACAAGTTGGTTTTCTGAAACGATAAACAAAATTGACAAATCATTAGTTAGAGTAACTAAAAACACAGAACAAATCCAAATATAATCAGAAATGAGAAAGGGGGTGCTACAATGGATATCACAGAAATACAAAGGATCATTGGACTACTATGAACAAATGCATATTAACAAATAAATTCAAATCCTTTAGAAAATGGATGAACTTCTGCACACAAACAACTTATCAAGATTGAATGAAGAAACAGAAAATCTGAACAAACCAATAACAAGTACTGAGATTGAATCAGTAACAAAAATTCTCCCATCAAAAAAAGTCCAGGATCAGCAAACTATCGCAAGGAAAAAAAAACATACGCCGCATGTTCTCACTCATGGGTGGGAATTGAACAATGAGGACACATGGACACAGGAAGGGGAACATCACACACCAGGGCCTGTCGTGGGGTGAGGGGAGGAGAGAGGGATAGCATTAGGAGATATACCTAATGTTAAATGACGAGTGAGTTAGTGCAGCACACCAACATGGCACATGTATACATATATAACTAACCTGCACGTTGTGCGCATGTACCCTAAAACTTAAAGTATAATAAAAAAATACTATAGAGCCACAAAAGAGAGTGAAATCCTGTCATTCTTGGCAGTATGAATAGAACTGCATGACATTATTTAAGTAAAGTAAGCCAGGAATGGAAAATTAAATACCTCAAATTCTCCTGATATTTGGAAGTTAAAAATTATTGATTTCATAGAAGTAAAAACTAGAACAGAGGATACTAGATGCTGAAAAGGGTAAGGGGAAGGAAGCTTGGGGAGAAATTTGTTAAAGGATAAAATAATTACAGCTAAATGGCAGAATTAAGTTCAAGCATTCCACAGCACTGTAGGGTGACTATAGTTAACAATAATATATAGTTTAAAATAGCTAGAAAAAAAATATTGGATGTTCCTAACACAAAGAAATAATAAATGTTTGAGATGATGGATATGCTATTTACCTTGATATGTTCACTATACATTATATGTATTAAAAATCACTATGTATCCCATAAATATGTAAATTATTATATGTCAGTTAAAAATAAACAAAAAATGAATGAAATGCTATTATTTGCAGAAATGAGGATGAAACTGGAGGTCATTATGTTAAGTTAAATAAGCCAAGCACAGAAAGACAAATATTATATGTTCTCACTCATATATGAGAACTACAATAGTGAATCTCATGAATATAAAGAGTAGATTAATGCTTACCAGGGGCTGTGAGAAGTCAGGGGGCATGGAGGGAGGTTCATTAATGGGTACGAATACACAGTTAGATAGAAGAAATGAAAGTTAATGTTTGGTAGATCAATAGGGTGACTATAGTTAACAATAATATATTGTAACTTTCAAAATAGCTAGAGGGGAATAATTAAAATGTTCCTATCATAAAGAAAAAATAAATATTTAAAAGTAATGGATATCTAAAATACTCTCATTTGATATTTACACATTATAAAAATGTATCAAATTTTCACATGTTCCCTAAAAATATGTATATCCATTTATGTATCAATAAAAATTAACAAGCCAAAGCCTGTCAAATGTGGTTTAACAATTCAAATTGAAAAAATGTGTCTTCTCATCAAGACCCAGTTGGGGAGGCAATATGTTATAGTATGTCTACTTAGTATATTTCTTAGGAGTTGACCCACTGCAACTTTTATATAGCTATTGAATTGGTAACGTCGAAGTCATAATTAAGTTTTCTTGTCATATTAATAACCTTCAGAATTCAATGAGACTAATAGTACTATATTTTAACAATTTACCTGCATCACAATAAAAGTTGTTTGTTAGGATATTTCATTACAAGGCACTGATGTAATTATAATAGCAGCAAAAAATCAGTATTGACCATAACTACTCAGCTACTAACTCTGCACATCATCTTTGAGCACTAAAAAAATAGTATTGAATCTGCCAGAAGAATATGAACAGCTAGCACCAGGGATAAATCTTCCTGGGATGATGCATTTCTGATATCATATTATACTTTCCCCTCTCTTGTTCCTGTTTTGAACTCAGTATCTATCCTTGTTATAACCTTCTAATATTCTGTCACAATCACTAATTTTTGTTGTTTTGTACTATCTGCACTATAAAGGATGTGCTAGGTATTCAGGTATTTACAATTATAAACTTAACTAACATTTATTTTAAAATAATGGGTACGAGTATACAGTT
Organism: Homo sapiens; assembly: GCF_000001405.40. Taxonomy (NCBI): domain Eukaryota; kingdom Metazoa; phylum Chordata; class Mammalia; order Primates; family Hominidae; genus Homo; species Homo sapiens. The sequence continues at coordinate 83,800,550 of NC_000023.11, forward strand.
AGAGAAAATAAATGAAAGTTAGTGTTTGATAGATCAATAGGGTAACTATAGTTAAAATAATCTATTGAACCTTTCTAAAATACATTTTTGGTTAGTTTATAATACACTTTAATAAATGATAAAATAAAATCCATTGTAATAATTTTTAAATAAAAATTTTTTATTTAACTTCAAAAATCAAGCCGAAGTAAAACTTTCAAACGTTTCTGCTCTGTCCTTTTAAATATTTTTTAATGTCTGTAATTTACATATTATATGGCTTATAAAAACATAGAAATAAAATCTCAAAATTCACAACCCTTCCAACTGGAGTTCATTTTCCATAGCAGTAAAAAATGTGACATATTTATCCTTCGCCATACAGAATGAAACAAACAATCCAGAGGTTTATTAGTAGGTTAGGTAAATGGGGCAACTATATCTTTGTTTTAGAGCCTCTTTGATGATGAAATTACTGAGGACAAAAGAGGTAGGCAATGCACCTACAATATGAGATTTCTATAAGAATACCTTAAAATTGCAGAATGTTTTGCCATTTTCAAAGCTCACTAATCAACTTTTTTCTCATGTGACACTTACTAATAGCTCTGTGTTAAGCAACTATCTTCTCTATTTTAGAGATAACATGGAGAAGCTCATGTCTTTGAGATTTTCTCCTTTATTTTCTGGGTATATTGAGGCAAAATAGACAACTAAAAATTATAAATATTGAAGATGTACAATGTGATATTCTGATATATGTTTACATCATGAAATAATTACCTCGATCAAACTAATTAACATATACATCACCTCACACTGTTACCATTTTTTTGTGGTAAAAACATTTAAATTTAACACATTTCAATTATACAATACAGTATTTACTATAGTCACTATGCTGTACATTAGTTTCTCAGAACTTATTTATCCTGCATAAGATTTTGTACACTTTGACCAATAATTCCCTCAGCCCCTACCAACCACCATTCACTCTCTATTTTTATAAATTTGATTTTTTTTTATTTCACATATAACTGAGATCATGCAGCATTTGTCTTTCTTTGCCTGTTTTCCTTCAGTTAGCACAATGCCTTTTAGGTTCGTCTATGTTGTTGCAAATGACAGGATTTCTTTCATTTTAGAGGCTTAATAATATTTATTGTGTACATATGTCACACTTTATTCATTCATCTGTCAATAGACATTTAGATTCACTCAATATTTTGGCTATTGTGAATAATTCCACATGACATAAAAATGCAGATATCTTTTGAGATAGTGTTTTTAATTCTTTTGGATATATAACCAGAAGTGGAGTTGTAGATCACATGATAGTTCTGTTTTTAATTTTTTGAAGAAACTCCATATTATTTTCCATAATAACTGTACCAATTTACATTCCCACCAGCAGCAAACAAGTATTCCCTATTATCCGCATTCTCACCAACATGTATCTTTGGACATTTTGATAACAGCCATCCTAACAGGTGTGAGGGAATATCTCATTGTGGTTTTGATTTGCATTTCCTGAATGATTAGCATTGTTGAGTATTTTTTAAAATATGTGTTGGCCACTTGTATGTCTTCTTTGGAATAATGTCTATTCAGATCCTTTGCCCATTTTTAATTAATTTATTTGTGGTGTTTTAATTTTATTTGTTCTTTAGCTATTAAATTATAGGAATTTCTTCTGTATTTTGGATATTAAACCCTTATCCGATACGTGGTGCTAAGGTATGGACGTGTCCTCCCCCAAAATTCAAGTGTTAGAAACTTAATTCCCAATGCAACATTGCTGGAAGGTGGAGCCTAATAGAAGCTGTATAGAATAGGAGGGCTCTGCCTTTTGATTTCTTATTGGATCCATTGGTTGTTTGTGTGTGATTTAATTTTCACACGGTGTAAAATGCTGCAGTTTTTCTTGTGTTATTAATTTCTAGTGTCATAGCATGGTGGTTGGAAATGATACTTGACATGATTTTAATCTTCTTGAATTTGTTGAGATTTGTTTTGTGCCCTAACTTATGTTCTATCCTGGAAAAAGTTCTGTGTGTGCTTGACAAATACATGTATTCAGCTGGTGCTGTAAGGAATATGTATGTTAGGTCCATTTGTCTAAAGTGAAGGTCAAGTCCATTGTTTCCTTATTGATTTTCTGACTGGATGATCTATCCATTGCTGGATGCAGGGTATTGAATCTCCCTACCATGATTGGATTACCCTCTATTTCTCTCTTCAATTCTGCTAATGTTTGCTTAATAGATTAGGTGCTCTGATATTGGGTTTATATATATTTACCACTGCTGTAGCCTCTTGATCTCTTTGAGTTATCATTTGCATAGAATATCTTTTCTCATCCTTTCACCTTGAGCCTATGTGTGTCCTTAAACCTAAACTGAGTCTCTTGTAAACAACATATAGTTGGATCTTGTTTTCTTTCCATTAAGCCCCTATGTTTTTTGATTGCAGAGTTTATTTACATTCAAGATAATTATTGATATGTAAGGACTTAGCATTACCATTTTGTTAAATTTTTCTGACTGTTTTGTAGTTTCTTTGTTCTCTTCTCTTGTTTTCCTTTTCGATTTAATCATTTTGTGTACTGGTAGGCTTTGATTCCTTTCTGTTTCTCCTGTGTATCTACTGCAGGATTTTTAGTGACATTGCAATGAGGCTTACATACAGCATCCTATAGTGATATCAGTTTATTTTAAGTTGATAACAACTTAATTTTGACATGTCTTTATTTTCTGTTAGTACCATTATAATACATATATTGCAAGTATTTTTGTCTTTCCTTCTAAATTGTGACCTCCACAAAGTCAATGTTAAATTTAACTCTTTAGACTCAGTACCTAACCAGTGTCTAAATGCACAATAAATATTTAGCAATTAAACATGTGAATCAATCAAAGTGTTATGTGGCTGTGAATAGGACCAAATGAATATAATAGGATAATTAATACTAAAACTCAGAACTTCTGATATTTAATCTAATGCTATTTTTACTTATTCAATATGATTCAGGTGTTCATGTCAAGGTTGGATAATAGCTTGGAGAATGTGAGGTCTGAGGGTTCCCAAATCAGGAATTTCCCAGTTGAAACAAATACATAATTGAAAAATATTTAACACTTACTCTATGCCAAACATTATTCTAGGTTTCAGAATTACAGCAATAATGTCTTTGGCATGAGCAGTTTTACGTTCTACTGGAGGAGATATACTGTAAACAAGTTAGTAAATATATGATAGGTCAGGAATAAAAGGAGAATTGGTAGGAGTTGATGTCAGATAATTTGATGGGAGCTAGATCATGTAGGGCCTTGTAGGTCATTGTAAAGATTTAAGTGGGTGAGTAATAACATCTTTGTTGTATTTTTAAGATTGCTCTATTTGCTGTGCAATTATGTGGGGAGCAAAGATAAAAGCAGATAAACCAGTGCAGTAATTCAGATGAGAGATAATGTTGTCTTGAACTAAAATGCAATGGAGATGATGAAGAAAAATGGCATGATAAGAAATGACTATACTTTGAATATATTTAAATGGTAGAAATGACAGCATTGGTTGCAGAATTGAATGTAAGGTTGAGAGAAAGAGGAGTCAATAATTAGCCCTCTCAAAACCTGAGAAAATTGGAGGATTGAGTTTATATTTACTGAGATGAGAAGTGGGACCACCTATTTTGTTTTCTGTATTATGATGATCTGATATCTGGGGTCTTGCTGCCCACAGAAGGACTGCTCCTCTAGGGCTCACCAATTTCTAGAAATAATAAACGAGTTACCTGCAAGAATGCTTTTTAAATGCAAAACAAACAATCCAGAGACCACAACCTCAACCATCTCCTATATTTGGCTCACTCAGGTCCACTATTAATCTACCATAATCACTGTAAGGGCAGGTACCAAACAACTAGGGGCGTCACATTCCTCACATTGTGTTGACATTATTCAAACTAATCAATAGTAAGCCTGTTTACTTTGCCTCACTCATTCCTTCCCATGGAAACCTCAATAAAGGCTCTTGTCTGCACTTTCCCCCGCCCTCTGCCTGCTTACCAAATGAAGGTCCCTTGTCCTCTCAACTCCCTGTCCATGGCATATCATGCCTCCTCCTTTTAGAATCTTTGAAGATAACATACTATCTTTTCAATTATATTCATCTCTTGACCTTTTGGACTTTTTTACCTGAAGAATATTAAAACCCAGACTTTAAAGCCATGAGGAATGTCATTTTGAACATAATTAAAATATGTCATAATTTTGGAGAAATTGGAACCCTTATACCCAGTTGGTGGGAATGCAAAATGTTGTAGCCACTATGGAATACGGTAGGGAGGTTTCTCAAAAATTAAAATAGAACTACCATATGATTCAGCAACCCCATTTCCAGATATTTATCCAAAACAGTTTAAATCAGGATCTCAAAAAGATGTTAGCATACCCATGCTCATTGCAGTACTATTTACAATAGCAAAGATGTAAAAACAACCTGATGGCCATCATCAGATAAATGGGTAAAGAAAACGTGGTATGTATACACACTAGAATACTAGTCAGCCTTTAAGAGAAGAAACTCCTGTCATATGTGACAACATTGATAAACCTGGAGGCCATTATGCTATATAAAACAAGCCAGGAACATGCAGATAAATACAACATGATCTTATATGTGTAATTTAAAAAAGTTTAGCACAGAGAAGCAGAGAGTAAAATGGTAGTTATGAGACATGTGTCTGTTGGGGCATAGTGGTAAAAACAGCAAAATTTCTGTTAGATACTGTTGGGGCATAGTGGTAAAAACAGCAAAATTTCTGTTAGATAGAAGGAATAAGTTCAACAGGCCTATTGTAGAACATGGAGACTATAGTTAATAACAATGTATTGCATTCTTGAAAGTAACTCTAAGAGAGTAGATTCGAGTGTCTGCATTACAAATAACTGACAAGCTTATGAATTAATGCATATGTTAAATATTTTGATTTAGCCATTCCACAACTTATACATTATCTTTTTTTGTCAACTTTTATTTTAGATACAGGGGTGTGAGTGCAGGTTTGTTACATGGGTATATCGCACCTAGGTAGTGATTATAGTACCCAATATATAGATTTTTGCCCCTTCCTTTCCTCTTCTCTCTAGTAGTCTGCAGTGCCTACTGTTTCTATGTTAATGTCAATAGTTGCTGAATATTTAGCTTCCACATGTAAGTGGAAATATGTGGTATTTTGTTCTCTGTTCCTGCATTAATTTCCTTAGGATTATGGCCTCTAGCTCCATCCATGTTGCTCCAAAAGGTTATGATTTTATTCTTTTTTGTGGCTGCATAGTATGCCATGCTGTATATATGCAACTCTTGTTTTATTCCTTCCACCACTAATGGATACCTAGATTGATTCCATGTCTTTGCTATTGTGAATAGTGCAGCAATGTGAGTGCATGCGTCTTTATGGTATAATTATTTATTTTCATTTGGGTGTATACTCAGTAATGGAATTGCTGTGTTGAAGGAATATTCTGTGTTGAATGTTCTGTTTTAAGTTCTTTGAGAAATCATCGAATTTCTTTCTAGCGTGGCTGACCAATTTACATTCCCACCAACAGTATATATGCATTTCCTTGCCTAAATCTTGCCAGATTCTGCTGTTTTTTTACTTTTAATAATAGCCATTCAGACTAATGTGAGATTGTGTATCATTTGGGTTTTGATTAGCATCTCTCTGATGTCTAGTGATGATGGTATTTTTTCATATGTTTGTTGACTGCTTATATGTATTCTTTTGAGAAGTATCCGTTCATATTTTTTGCCCATTTTTTAAAGGGGTTAATTGTATTTTGCTTGTTGACTTGTTTAAGTTTACTACATATTCTGAATATTAAACATTTATTCGATGCATAGTCTGTAGATATTTTCTCCCATTCTGTAGTTTGTCTGTTTCCTCTCTTGATAGTTTTTTTCCCCCCCCTGAGGAAAAACTCTTTATTTTAATTAGGTCTCACTTGTCAATTTCTGTTTTTGTTGCAATTGCTTTGGGGGACTTAGCAAAAATCTCTTTTGACAAGGTCAATGTTGAAAAGGATATTGCCTAGGTAGTCTTCTATGGTTTTATAATTTGAGTTTTTACATTTCAATATTTAATCCAACCTGAATTAATTTTTGTATATGGTGAAACGTAGGTGTCCAGTTACATTATTGTACATATGACTATCTGGTTATCTCAGCACCATTTATTGAAAAGAGGGTTGTTTCCCCATTGCTTTTCTTTTGTCACCCTTGTGAAAGATCAGATGGTTGTAATTATGTGGCTTTATTTGTGACTTTTCTATTCAGTTCCATTGGTCTCTGTATCTGACTTTGTACTAGTATCTTGCTGTTTCTTTTACTATAACATTATAGTATAGTTTGAAGTGTAGTAGTGTGATGCCTCTGGCTTTGTTCTTTTTTCTTAGAATTTCTTTGGCTATTTGTGTTCTTTTTAGGTTTCAGTTGAATTTTAGAATAGTATTATCTAATTCTGTGAAAAATGACATTGGTAGTTTAATAGGAATAGCATTGAATCTGTAAGTTGCTTTAAGCAGTATGGCCATTTTAATGATATTGATTCTTCAAATCCATTAGCATGGGATATTTTTTTCCATTTATTTATGTTGTCTCTGATTTCTTCCAACAGGTTTTTGTAGTTATCCTTATAGAGATTTTTTACCTCTTTGGTTAGCTGTATTGCTGGGTATTTTATTTTCTTTGTGGCTGTTTTAAGTTGAATTGTGTTCTTAATTTGAACACTCAGCCTGTACCTTATTGTTATATAGAAATGCTATTGATTTTGTATCCTAAAAGCTCACCAAAATTATCAGCTCTCCTAGCTTTTTGGCGGAGTCTTTAGGGTTTTTTAAGTATGGTATCATATTGTCAGTGAAGAGAGATAGTTTAACTTCTTTTCCTATCCAGATGCCTCCTATTTCTTTATTTTGCCTGATTGCTCTGGCTAGGACTTTCAGTATTATGTTGAATAGAAGTGGTGAGAGTAGATATCCTCGTGTTTTTCCAATTCTCAAGGAGAACAGCTTCAGCTTTTGACTTTTCAGGATGATTTTGGCTGTGAGTGTGTCGTAGATGGCTCTTATTATTTTGATGTATCAAAATGCCTAGTTTGTTGAAGGCTTTTATTATGCAGTGATGTTGGATTTTATTACAAGCTTTTTTTCTGTATCTATTGAAATGATTGAACATTTTTTGTCTTAATTCTGTTTATGTGGTGAATCACATTTATTGATTCGTGTATGTTGAACTGACCTCACATACCAGGAATGAATCCTACTTGATTGTGGTAAATTAACTTTTTGATGTGATGCTGGATTCAGATTGCTAATATTTCTTTGAGGATTTTTGCATCTATGTTCATCAGGAACATTGGCCTGAAGTTTTCCTTTTCCTTTGTATCTCTGCCAGATTTTAGCATTAGGCTGACATTGGCTTCATAGAATGAGTTATAGAGAGCTCCTTCTCCCCCCTTTTTTTTTAAAATAGTTTTAGTAGGATTGGTACCAGCTCTTCTTTGTATGCTTGGTGGGATTCAGCTGTGAATCCATTTGGTCCAGAACTTTTTTTTGGTTGGTAGGTTTGTTTTTTGTTACCGATTCCATTTCAGAGCTCAGTATTGTTCATTCATGTTTTCAATATCTTCCTGATTCAATCCTGGAAGATTGTGTTTCCAGGAACTTATGCATTTCCTCTAGATTTTCTAATTTGTGTGCATATAGGTTTTTATAGTATCCTCTGATGGTTTTTTGTTTGTTTGTTTCTTTCTGTGGAATCAGTTGTAATGCAATCTTTATCATTTCTAATTTTACTCATTTGGATCTTCATTTTTTACTTTTCTAATGTAGCTAGAAGTCTATCAATATTATTTATTTATTTTGAAGAATCAACTCTTGGTTTCATTGATCTTTTGTATAGACTTTTGCATCTCAATTCTATTCAGTTCTCCAATTTTAGTTACTTCTATTCTTCTGCTAGCTTTGGGTCGTTGTTTTCCTAGTTCCTTTAGGCACAAAATTAGATTGTAAATTTGAGATCATTCTACCTTCTTGATTAAGGCATTTAACACTATGCACTTCCCTTATAACACTGCTTTTGCTGCATCCCAGAGATTTTGCTAACGTGTATCCCTATTTTTATTAATTTCAAATAATTATTTGATTTCTGCCTTAATATTGATGTTCATCTATGAGTTATTTAGGAGCAAGTTATTTAATTTTTGTTAATTTTTATAGTTTTAAGAGGTATTATTGATATTTACTTCTATTTTTATTGCACTGTGGTCCAAGAGTGTACTTGGTATTATTTCAATTTGTTTGAATTTATTAAAACTTGCTTCATGACCAAGCACATAGTCAATAGTAGAATATGTTCATGTGCACATGAGAAAGATGTATATTCTGTGATTTGGTGAAGCGTTCTGTAGATTTCTGTTCGGTCAAATTGGTCAAGTATCAAGTTGAAGTCCATAGTTAGTTTTTTGGTTAGATTTTTTTGCCCCAATGATCTCCTGTCTTTTCATCCAGCTTGCCACTCTATTTTTTTAAGTGGAGTGTTATTTCCATTTACATTCACAGTTATTATTGATATATGAGATTTCAATCCTGCCATTGTCTTGTTAGCTATTTTTTATGTAGACTTACTTGATTACTAATTTTTCTTCATTCTGGACCCAAAACTTTAATCAAGGTACTGAATGTTAAGTTAAGTAAGTGACTTTGGGCAAATAACTTATCTCTCCATACATGTGTATACATTTTTGAAACCATTATGTTGGGCATGATAAATACATACAATATTTATTGCTCAATTAAAAATAATCTATTTTCAATAGGGAAAAAGAAACATTCATAATTCAGTAGTTGAACAAGTAGAATTACAAACCCACAATTAAGCCAATAGTTAATCAAAACTTTACACAAAGCCTATTGACTGACCTCCTAGTAAAATATGATGTAAGTGAATTAAATCTAAAAATACATAAACCAGTTAATGCTGGTAATAACCCTGTATTTTGGGTAAAACCATTTAAATGACACAACTAAACAATTGGATATATTTTTTCATACAAAGCCTAAATTTGACTGTCTCACTTCAGTCAAGCTCTAAAGTCAAGTTCAATTTTCCAGTATTGACTAAGATGTTTCTTAGATATATTGCTGAATCCCTAGTGAAGGAAATAAGAAACAGGTTCAATTTTAAATACTGAGTGCATCTATCATTTTTTAATGATTTCTGAATATGTAAAATAATAATCTTTTTTCTTTGTGGAACTGATTTAGATATGATGTTTTTATGAACTTGAGAGATCTAAATTTTTATGCAAATGCAAAAAAATAGTATTTGAACAGAATGTGTGTAGCATTACAGGGTAAGATAGATGAGATACAAGATAATTGTATTCATTAAATATAAGAGCTATGGCCCATAAAGTAATGTAAAAATAAAACAGTAAAATTCAATTTGGCTCTCAGAGTGTTTGTGTCATTACAATTCTTGGTAAAGAGTTTTCCATATAACAATGGCTTCTGTTATTTGTCCTTGATCAAGTCACTTATCCCCTCCAGGCCTCGGTCTCCTTTATCATAAATTATTGATCTCAACTATTTGCTCTCTAGAAACACTTCAAAAATGAATAAATCAGAACTATGTGCAATTGAGGGGTGTTCATGTGCTGAAAAAAATGAGAAACTGAGGTTTAAGTGTCCATATTTCAGAGTTCAAGTTTATTAGTTAATCCAAATTCATCAAATATCCAAACCTCTAACACAGATATACTTTATACTTTGTATTTTATCCCTTGTTTATTCAGATTTTTGAGTGAATCTCAGATTAACAAAGCTAAAAGATGCATAGATAAAAGATAGATTGGACAAGGACTTGGCAACTGTGGAAAGTTTTATTTATAAGTGGAGTTCCAAGGTCAGCTTGCAAGCATTAGGTAAGTCAAAGATATATATGTCATAATCTGTGATATTGTGTCATTGTAAACAGAAGAGACCCCGAGTTATTTGGCCTGAAGATCTTTCAGAAATACAAGATTTAATGATTGAGATGGAACTCCAGATGAAAGCCATAATGTCTGTAGCAGTCATTTAATCAACTAATTTTTCTTCATTCTGGACCCAACACTTTAATCAAGGTGCTGAATATTAAGTTAGGTAAGTGATTTTGGGCAAATATCTTATATCTCCATAATCTTTTCATAAAATAAATATGATAAGAGAATCATATTTATCATCAAAAGTACATCATAATACCTTCCCAACTTACCTTACACAACAGTTGAATAAGTGGATAAGAAGCAGTCTAAAAAATGTAAAACACAATTTACATGTAGTTTTGAAGGTCAGTCTGTCTACACCCTATCAACTTCTAAAGGCCTAGGTCAAGTTCAACATTTTTCAAAAAGTCTACTCAAGGAGCACCAACTCACAGTATGCTGTCATCTATTTATTATATTGCTTACTACTGAGTCATGTACTTAGATTTTATCTTCTTAATCAGACTGTAACTTGATAACAGGAATGAACATATCTGATAATACTTTGATATTTTCGACTTTACCTAGCACAGGGCTAAGAAGGTAATTGACATTCAGTAATTATTTTTCAATGGTAATTAAAACACAGAACATGAAATCTACTCAATTAAAAATTCTGTAAGTGTACACTACAGTATTGTTAACCATATGTGTATTTTGTACAGCAGATTTCTACAAGTTTTTCAACTTGCATGATTAAAATTCTGACCCAATGCACAGTAGCACCCCATTTTCTCCTTACCTTACACCCTGGCAACTAGCATTATACTTTAATAATTATTTTCTACATACAAAATAATTTATTATTAAAAGATCTGAAATGTTCTTAACAAATCTAAGGACTTTGGGTCTATGATTAGTTGATACTCTCGAAGACTCTGTCAACACAGTTTATGTACCAAACACTAAACATAGGCCTCCCTCCAGATTTGTCTTAGATTTTCTGGGAGGGTCTTTTTGCCTCCTTGCAGCTACCTGGCTGGTCATGCTCCTTGCCTACTCTTAAATTTTCTGTTTCCCATGAAACAAAGTGACATATTTTTGTTTACAGGGTCAGTGCTGGGAACAATACTCTTGAATGTAAACCTTGCTGAATAATTGATGGGCATGAAAAATATATCATTTATCTCTATCTCCTATTCTCCATTCTCCTTGCCTCCTAACCCACTTCATTCAATTCTCATTTGCTCAGACAAGACTTTTTGTAAGTCTCCCAACAGATCTATGTTTCTAATGTAACCTATTTATTGTCAACAAAAAAGGTCTCTCTAAAGCATTTTATTTGATCTATCACCAACCTATTTGAAACAAAGCAATATATCCCGATTGCTGACAGAATCAAGTCCAAACTCCCTCATATAAAAATTCAAAGTACTCCATTATAAGGCCTCAACATATCCTTCTCCCAGCGTTATTACCTATTAAATAATGCATTTCTACCTTACATTTTAGTCATCATATCATTTGCCATCTTGCAGCACATCCTCTTCTGATTTACTACATTTACATTGTTCATGATATTCCATTTTTTTTCTGACATATTTCTACCTCTCAGCTTGTTGAAATCCCACTTATTTTTGTGGATTTAAACAACACATTCTCAAGTGATGTCAAATAATGTTTATTTCACTCTTACATGATTACATTCTGCTCTGCGCTTATTTGTACATATTTTGTATATGTTTTGTCACCTCTACTTGAGAGCAGCGATTATCTTTTGTTCACCTGTGTATCCATCTACAATGCCTAGTATATAGGAAATACTCAGCAAACATGTTATTATATATTGAAATTCAACTGAAAAAAATAGTTTGTCTTGTCAAAGAGCTTTCATAAAAATTATAAATAAAGACATTCTGGATAGTAAATTGAGACACATTGTATTAAAAATGATGCTAGAAGCAACATTTGTGGCTGCTTATTAGAAATAGGGGGTAGATAAAACCTTAATTTGTGGCTCAATAAAGTATGCTATTCTAATAACCATGAAAAAGTATAATGCAATAAGAAACAGCACATATGAAAAAATATGTAGAGTGGTCGAGTTCCATGTATTACATAATGAAAAAAGAAATCTCAAATAAATGTCATGAATAAAGGAAAATAAATTCTCAAAAGTATATATTTATTGGAAGTCTAAATTCCCTTAGTGTGAATAAAACGGGATTAATCCAGGAGGGATGTTGTCAAGGGCAATGGGAAAAATGTGTCTGAGTAGAGAATAACCTGAAAAAATTAAAAAGTAAAAATTGAAGAAGCCAAAACAATGCAATATAAATGGAAAAAAATGACAGCAGACATAGTAGAAATAAAATAGGACTTTCACGTGTTTTAATGGTATATGCTGGTTACTTAGTTATTTGAGAACTGCTAGAATTATGATGCTGAAATATTTTTATGCTAGTATATATTGGCTTTCATATGATATAAATAATTAACTTCAAAGGATAGTAGCCCCTCCTCCCCACCTCCAGCTTAAAATCAAACTGTCAGACTGTCACTCCAGGTGAGCACTATCTCATGGATTCCCCAAGTATGACTGAAATGTACCTGGCCCTTGCTTACTCAGCCCACCCGGCAACCATTTTCATGCCCCTTTAGTATCATAGAGGTGACCAACAACACAGCTGTAGGTCACCATGTCAACCTTGGTCCCACTCACCTTTTCTAGCATGCTAGCTTGTGTTGTTTCCAGGCTGATAGAGTTAGTGCAGGAGGACGGAGTGGCATAATTGTCAATTTATTGATGTCCTAACTCCTGTGATAAACAGTTTGCCTTAAATTGTGGAGCATGGAAGCTGTCTACTTTATTCCATGACACTATCAAAATTCACTCTTAGTATCTCAATAAAAGCTAACTGAGATGGGCAGGATGGGATATTGGGAAAGAGCACTGGACTGTATGTGAGAAGTACTGAATTCTAGTTTCTGTAGAGCCTGAGTGAGAATTCCTGAATGAGGAGCTGAAATGGCATTGAGGGCTTTAATACAGTGGAAATAGCATGACATTTGGAAACAACAGATATGTGTTTATGTGGTTAAGCCTTCTTTAGTTCAGTCGTCTTCAAGTCTTCAAACCATGGTTTCTTCACCTCTGAAGTAAGGTCAGTAGTTACAGACATGGTTTGGCTCCGTGTCCTCATAATCTCATCTCATCTTGTAGCTCCCATAATTCCCATGTGTTGTGAGAGGGACCCAGCAGGAGACAATGGAATCATGGGGGCTGATCTTTCCCATGCTGTTCTCGTGGCAGTGAATGGGTCTCCCAAGGTCTGGTGGTTTCAAAAACAGGAATTTCTTGGCACAAGCTCTCTCTTTGCCTGCTGCCATCCATGTAAGATGTGACTTGCTACTCCTTGCCTTCTTCCATGATTGTGAGACCTCCCCAGCCATATGAAGCTATAAGTCCAATAAACCTATTTCTTTTGTAAATTGCTGAGGCTTGGGTATGTCTTTACCAGCAGTGTGAAAAGGAACTAATACAGTTACTAAACTGTAACTGTTGTGGTTAGAGGCAAGGTAGATTAAGGAATGAGAATGTTCTTTCTAAGCTTAATTACAGAAATGCTATGATTAACTCACTGCGTAACCTCAATAAAAATGTTGTTGGTCTGTAATTTGTTTCTTTAACCTGTAAAATAAGGGAAATTTAAAGCAGTTATATCTGGGACAAATATATGCAATTTGTAAATACTATGTGTATATAAGCCAAACAAAAAATAAATGACAACAATTTAGAAGGGAGGAAAAGAATTATGACTACTTTAATTGCTCTTAAAAGTCCTGTTTTCAATTCCTCAAAGACCTAAACACAAAAATATCATTTGACCCAGCAATTCCATTACTGGATATATACCCAAAGGAATATAAATCATTCTATTATAAAGATACATGCATGTGTATGTTCATTGCAGCACTATTCACAATAGCAAAGACATGAAATCAATCTAAATGCCCATCGATGGTAGTCTGGATAAAGAAAATGTGGTACATATACACAATGGAATACTATGCAGACATAACAAAGAATGAGATCATGTATTTGCAGGAACACGGATGGAGCTGGAAACCATTATCCTTAGCAAACTAATTCAGGAACAGAAAACCAAATACTGCATGTCCTCACTTATAAGTGGGAGCTAAATGATGAGAACACATGGACACAGAGATTGGAGCAACTCACACTGGGTCATATTGGAGTATGGAGGGTGGAAGAAGAGAGAGAATGAGGAAAAATAACTAATGGGTACCAGGCTTAATACCTGGGTGACAGAATAATCTGTACAACAAACCCCAATGACACGAGTTTACCTATATAACAAACCTGCATGTTTATCCCTAAACTTAAAATAAAAATTAAATAAGAATATAAGTCCTGCCTTCTTCAGGTCTTAAAAAACACTACTGCTTCATCACTGCCCCTAGAGCAATGTTCTCTCAAGCAGAGCACATGAGGGAAAATCGACTGGACATCAAAAAAACATTTAATGTATTATTCATGTTTACTTGTAAATGTCCTTTTCTGACAGTTTTTGTACATGTCGTATTATGCATAAAATATTCTTTCACCCCAATAATATTGTTGTTTTTATTAAAATGGATCAAGTAGTACATGCATCAAACCAAAATATATATGATTAAAAATTATTAATTCGTAAAGTTATGCCTTCTTTCCAACTTTTAAGTCAGTGGTACATGTGCAAGATGTGCAGGTATGTTACATAGGTAAACGTCTGACATGGTGGTTTGCTGCACAGATCATCTTATCACCTAGGTATTAAGTCCACTATCCATTAGCTCTTCTTTCTGATGCTCTCCCTTCTCCCACCCCTCACTCTCCAGCAGACCCCAGTGTGGGTTTTCCCCTCCCATGCGTCCATACGTTCTTATTATTCAACTCCCACTTACAAATGAGAACGTGCAGTATTTGATTTTCTGTTCCTGTGTTAGTTGGCTGAGGATAATGGCATCCAGCTGCATCCACATTCCTGCAAAGGACATTATCTTGTTCCTTTTAATGGCTGCATAGTATCCCATGGTGTATATGTACCATATTTTCTTTATCCAGTCTATCACTGATGGGCATTTAGGTAGATTCCATGTCTTTGCTATTGTGAATAGTGCTGCAATGAACATACACATGCATGTATCTTTATAATAGAATGGTTTATATTCTTTTGGGTATACCAAACCCAGTAATGGGATTGCTAAGTCAAATGATATTTCTGTATCTAGGTCTTTGAAGAATCGCCACACTGACTTCCACAATGGTTGAACTAATTTACACTCCCACCAACACCGTAAAAGCACTCCTTTTTCTCCACAACCTCGCCAGCATCTGTTGTTTTTTGGCTTCTTAATAATAGTCATTTTTATTGGTGTGAGATGGTATCTCATGGTTTTGATTTGCATTTCTCTAATGATCAGTGATGTTGAACTTTGTTTCATATGTTTGCTGGCTGCATAAATGTCTGCTTTTGAGAAGTGTCTGTTCATGTCCTTTCCCTGCTTTTTAATGGGGTTGTTTATTTTTTTCTGGTAAATTTGTTTAAGTTTCTTTTAGATGCTGGATATTAGACTTTAGTCTGTTAAATATATTGCAAAAATTTTCTGTTATTCTATAGGTTGTCTATTCATTCTGATGATAGTTTCTTTTGCTGTGCAGGAGCTCTTTAATTTAAGTAGATCCCATTTGTTGATATTTGCTTTTGTTGCAATTACTCTTGACGTCTTTGTCATGAAATCATTGTCCATGCTTATATCCTGAATGGTATGGCCTATATTGTCTTCTAGGGTTTTTATAGTTTTGGGTTTTGCATTTAAGTCTTTAATCCATCTTGAGTTGATTTTGTATATGGTGTAAGGAAGGGGGTGCAATTTCAATTTTCTGCATATGGCTAGCCAGTTCTCCCAGCACCATTTATTAAATAGGGAATCCTTTCCCCATTGCTTGTTTTGTTCAGGTTTGTTGAATATCTGATGGTTACGGGTGTGCAATCTTATTTCCTGTGTTCTCCCTTCTGTTCCATTGGTCTATGTGTCTGTTATTGTACCATGCTCTTTTGATTACTGTAGCTTTGTAGTATAATCTTTTTGCTTAAGATTGTATCGGCTATTTGGGATCTTTTTTGTTTCCATATGAATTTTAAAAATAATTTTTTCTTATTATGTGAAGAATGACAATGTTAGTTTAATGATAATAGCATTGATCTATAAATTTCTTTGGGCAGTATGGCCATTTTCACAATATTGATTCCTCCTATTCATGAGCATGGAATGTTTTTTCATTGGTTTGTGTCATCTCTGATTTCCTTGAGAAGTAGCTTATAGTTCTCCTTGAAGAGGTCCTTCACTTCCCTTGTTAGCTGTATTCATAGGCACTTTATTGTTTTTGTGGCAATTGTGAATCAGAGTTTATTAATAATTTGGCTTTTGGCTTGCCTGTTTTTTGTGTATAGGAATGCTAGTGATTTTTTCACATGGATTTTGCACCCAGAGACTTTGCTGAAGTTGCTTATCAGCTTAAGAAGCTTTCTGGCTGAGACAATGAGGTTTTCTAGATATAGAATCATGTCATTTGCAAAAAAGATAGTTTGGCTTCCTCTTTTCCTGTTTGAATACCTTTATTTCTTTCTCTTGCCTGATTGCCCTGGACAGAACTTCCAATACTATGTTGAATGGAAGTTTTGTCTTGTTCCAGTTTTCAAGTAAAATGCTTCCCGCTTTTGCCCATTCAGAATGATACTGGTTGTGAGTTTATTGCATATGAGATATGTTTCTTCAATACCTAATTTTTTGAGAGTTGTAAACATGAAAGGATGTTGAATTTTATCAAAGCTCTTTTCTGCATTTATTGAGATATTCATGTGGTTTTTGCCTTTAGTTCTGTTTATATGATGAATTGCATTTACTGATTTGCATATGTTGAATCAACCATGCATCCTGGAGATAAAGCCAATTTGATCATTGTGGATAAGCTTTTTGATGTGCTGTTAAATTTGGTTTGCCATTATTTTATTGAGGATTTTTGTATTGATGTTCATCAAGGATATTGACGTGAAGTTTTGTTGTTGTTGTTGTTGTTGTTGTTGTGTCTCTGCCAGGTTGTGTTATCAGGATGATACTGGCCTCATATAATGAATTAGGGAGGAGTCCCTCCTCTTCAATTGTTTGGAATAGTTTCAGTAGAAATGGTACTAGATCTTCTTTGTACCTCTGGTAGAATTCAGCTGTGAATCTGTCTGGATCTGGGCTTTTTTTGGTTGGTAGGCTATTTATTACTGCCTCGATTTCAGAACACATTATTGGTCTATTCAGGGATTCAATTTCTTCCAGGTTCAGTTTTAGGAGGCTGCATTTGTACAGGAAATTGCCCCTTTCTTCTAGATTTTCTAGATTATGTGCATAGAGTTGTTTATAGTATTCTCCGATGGTTGCTTGTATTTCTGTGGTGTCAGTGGTGATATCCCTCTTATTTCTTATTTTGTTTATTTGATTATTCTCTCTTATTAGTCTAGCTAGTGGTCTATTTTACTAATTTTTTTAAAAAAGAAAAAAACAGCTCCTGGATTTGTTGATGTTTAGAAGGGATTTTCATGTCTCTATCTCCTTCAGTTCAGCTCTGATCTTAATTTTTTTCATATTCTGTTAGCTTTGGGGTTTGTTTGCTCTTGGTTCTCTAGTTCTTTTAGTTGTGATGTCAGGTTGTCAATTTGAGATCTTTCTAGCTTTTTTTATGTGGTCATTTAGTGCTATAAATTTCCCTCTTAACCCTGCTTTAGCTGTGTCTCAGAGATTCTGGTACATTGTCTCTGTTCTCATTAGTTTTCCAGAAGTTCTTAATTTATGCCTTAATTTCATTATTTGCTCAAGAGTCATTTATGAGCAGGTTGTTCAATTCCCATGTAGTTGTGTGGTTTTGTGTGAATTTCTTAATATTTGGTTCTAATTTGTGCTGTTGTTTGAGAGACTTTGTTATGATATCAGTTCCTTTGCATTTGTTGAGGAGTGTTTTACTTCAGATTATGTTATCAATTTTAGAGTAAATGCCCTGTGGTGATAAGAAGAATGTATATTCTGTTGTTTGGGGATGGAGAGTTCTGTAGATATCTTTCAGGAGGAATGGGATCAGGGACCTGCTTAAATAAGCAGTCTGGCTGTTGTTTGGTAGAAGAGGTATGCTACATTGTGGGTAACCTTACTAATCTGCACCATTTGTTTTCTTAAAAGCTGGTGGGCTGGCCGGGCGGGGTGGCTCATGCCTGTAATCCCAGCACTTTGGGAGGCCGAGGTAGGTGGATCACGAGGTCAGGAGATCGAGACCATCCTGGCTAACATGGTGAAACCCCGTCTCTACCAAAAATACAAAAAAATCAGCGGGCGTGGCGGCGTGTGCCTGTAGTCCCAGCTGCTGGGGAGGCTGAGACAGCAGAATGGAGTGAACCCGGGAGGCGGAGCTTGCAGTGAGCAGAGATCGCGTCACTGCACTCCAGCCTGGGTGACAGAGCAAGACTCCATCTCAAAAAAAAAAAAAAAAAAAAAGCTGGTGGGCTGGAATAGCTTAGTCGACCAAACTGCAGAGATGATAGCCAACCTTCTCCACAAGAGCTCTGTCCCAGGAAGAGATCCGAGCTTTATCCATAGAACCCTGGCTGGAGTCGCTGAAGCCTGCGCAGGGAGGTCCCACCTATTGAGGAGGACTGGATTGGGGTCCTGCTTAAAGAAGTACTCTGGCCACTATCTGAAAAGGCCACTGCACTGGACTGTGAGGGGCCCCTCTTTGTCTGGACCATCTGCACTATCCACAGCTGGCAAACTGGAATGGCAGAGTCTCCAGAACCTCAGAGATGGCGGCTGCCCCTCCCACTGGAAATTTGGTTCTGTCTCTAAAGGACTTCAGCCCTCTGCTGGTGGCTGGCTGGGATTCCAAGCCAGTGGGTCTTAACCCATGAGGTGCCATGGAAGTGAGGCTTACAGAATAATGCTGCTTGGCTCCCTGTATTCATTCCCCTTCCTAAGGCTATGTATGGATGTATTTTCCACCTTGGCGGGGATCCTGGGACCAGAGCACGCAAAGCTTCTGGGTCTCTGTGTGCTCCTGAGCAGCTATATTGCCAAGAGTTCACACAGCTCTGTGTATCAGACCCAAGAGATGGTGGTGTGGCATCTCGAGGGGATCTCCTGGTCCACAGGTTGCAAAGATTTGTGGGAGAAGCATGGCTTCCTGGGCAGGTCACACAATTACTCACCACTTCCCCTGGCTGGAGATGGGGGTTCCTTTGGCTCCACGCTGCTCCCGGGTGAGCTGTCACCCCCACCCCTGCTTGTCCTTGCTCTCCGTGGGTCCGAGTTGCTTGCCTATTCAGTCCCAATGCAAGAACCTGGATATGTCTGTTGAAGGTGTTGAATTCACTTGCCCCTTTTCATTCCTCTCCATAACTGCCACGGACCACAGCTGCTTCTAATAGGCTACCTTCTCTGTCTTCTTTAGCATTTCTTGTAGTGCTGGTTTGGTGGTGGGAAATTTTCTCAACATTTGTTTGTCTGAAAGAGACTTTATTTCTCTTTCATTTAGGAAGCTTAGTTTCACTGGATACAAAATTTTGGGCTGACAATTATTTTCTTTAAGGAGGCTACAGATAAGACCCCAATCCCTTCTGGCTTGTAATGTTTCTGCTGAGAAACCTGCTCTTAGTCTGGCAGGTTTTCCTTTATAGGTTACCTAATGCTTTTGCCTCACAGCTCTTAAGATTCTTTTCTTCCTATTGACTTTAGATAGCCTGATGACTATGTGACTTGATGGTGATCTCTTTGCAATAAATTTCCCAGGAGTTCCTGGAGCTTCTTGTTTTTGGATGTCTACATGTCTAGCAAGACCAGAGTTTCCTCAATTATTTCCTCAAATACATTAAAAAAAAAAAAACTTTTAGACTTCTCTTCTCTTTCAGAAACACCAATTATTCTTAGGTTTGGCCATTTTACATAGTCCCATATTTCTTAGAGACTTTGTTTATTTTTTAATTCTTTTTACTTTGTCATTGTCTAATTGAGTGAATTTGAAAGCCTTGTCTTCGAGCATTGAAATTCTTTCTTCTACTTGTTCTAGTCTATGGTTAAAAAATTCCACTGAATTTTGTATTTTCCAAGGTGTGTCTTTCATTTTCAGGAGTTCTGATTTTTTTTTAAATAGTATCTATTTCTCTGAAAAGTGTTTCATTCATAGGCTGGATTTAAAAGAAAAATTCCTTAAGTTGGTTTGAAACTTTCTCTGATATCTTCTTGAGTATCTTAATAATCAACCTTATGAATTTTTTTGTCTGGTATTTCAGAGATTTCTTGGTTGGATCCATTGCTGGGGAGATGGTGTGATTTTTTGGGGGGGTGGGTGTTGTAAAACCCGTATTACCAGAATTACTTTTCTGTTTTCTTCTTATTTGGGTAGACTATTTATTTAAATTGTTCTAGAATTTATTTTTGATTGAACTGTTTTTTGTTTTAGTTTTTTTTTTTCTTCTCTTATAAGGATCTGACTTTAATGTTTATAGTTTATTTTAGCCTAATTTGATTATTGGTGCTTTTAGGGGTGATGACTCCATATGAATTCCTTAGTTATAGAGAATCTTTGTGTGCTGTTTTTCCCAGATGCTGGCTGTAGTAGTTACGTACTTGGTGTGTGGGCAAGTTTACTGTCTCCTGTGGGGTTGGAATGACAGGAATATCTTGAAGCTTATATTATTATCTTGTGGTGTACACTTTATTATTTAATATTTTCCCAGTATTTTATTTACTGAGTTGATAATTCAGGCTTCAGCAACCATATAAACAAGTCTGCATAATAACCAGCTAACATCATGATGACAAAATCCAATTGAAATATATCAATACAAACTTCAAATACAAATGGGCTAAATGGTCAATTAAAAGGCACAGAGTAGAAAGCTGAATAAGGAACCAAGATGCATTGGTATGCTGTCTTCAAAAAAACAATCTCACATGCAATGACACATATAGGCTCAAAATAAAGAAGTGAAGAAAAATCTACCAAGAAAATAAAAAATGGAAAACAGCAGGGGTTACAATCCAAGTTTCAGATAAAACAGTTTTTCAACCAAAAAAGATCAAGAAAGATAAAGAAGAGCATGACATATTGGTAAAGGATTCAATTCAATTAGATTTAACTATTCTAAGTATATATGCACCAAACACAAATGCACTCAGATTCATAAAGCATGTTTTTAGAGACCATCAAAAAACCTTAGACTCCCACACGAAAATAGTGGGAGATTCTACCATCCCACTGACAATACTAGATAGACCATCAAGATAGAATATTAACAAAGATATTTAGAACCTGAACTCAGCACTAGATCAAATGGACCAGAAAACATACCTACAGAACTCTCTCCCTCAAAACAAGTGAATATTCATTCTTATCACCATATGGCATATACTCTAAAATCAATAAAACATGGGAAGTAAAACACCACTTGGCAAATGCAGAAAAACAAAAATCATAACAACCAATCTTTCAGACCACAGCACAATCAAATTAGAAGTCAAGACTAAGAAATCCACTCAAAACCATACAATTACATGGAAATTGAATAACTTGCTGCCAAATGACTTTTAGGTAAATAATGAAATTAAAGCAGATACTAAGAAGTTATTTGAAACTAATGAGAACAAAGATACAACACATCAGAATCTTTAAGACACAGCTAAGGCAGTGTTAAAAAGAAATTTATAGCACTAAATACCCACATCAAAAAGTTAGAAAGATCTCAATTTCACAATCTAACATCACAACTGAAAGAACTCAGGAACAAAGAGAAAAGCCACCACAGAGCTAGCGTGAGAAATGAAATAACAAAATCAGAGCCGAACTGAAGGAGACTGAGAAACACACACACACTCACACACACACACACATACACACACACACACATAATTCAAAAGATCAACAAATCCAGGAGCTGTTTATTTTTTGAAAATACAATAAAATAGATAGACTTCTAGCTAACTTATTAAAGAAGAAAAGAGAGAAGATCCAAATAAACACAATCAGAAATGACAAGAGGGTCATTAACATTAACCCCACAGAAATATAAAAACCATCAGAGAATATTAGGAACACCACTAGACATAAAGTAGAAAATCAAAAAGAAGTGGATACATTTTCTGGACTCATACCTCCTCACAGTATTGAACCAGGAAAGAAATTGAATCACTGAATAGACAAATAACAAGGTCTGAATTTGAATCAGAAATAAATAGCCTCCCAACTAGAGAAAGCCAAGAACCAGACAAATTTAAAGCTGAATTCTACCAGATGTACAAAAAAGAGCTGGTACCATTCCTACTGAAACTATTCCAAAATATTGAGGAGGAGGACTTCCTCTGTAACTCATTCTATGAGGCAAACATCATCCTGATACCAAAAACTTGGGAGAGACCAAACAACAAAAAAACTTCAGGCCAATACCCTTAATAAACATCAAAGCAAAAATCCTCAACAAAATACTTGCTAACTGAATCCAGCAGCATATCAAATATTTATTTTCTACAATCAAATAGGCTTTATCCTTGGGATGCAAAATGGGTTAGACATATGCAAATCAATAAATGTGATTCATCACATAAATAGAACTCAACACACACACAAAAACACATAATTACCTCAATAGATACAGAAAAAGCTTTCAATAAAAATCAGCACTGCTTTATGTTAAATACTCTTAAAAAAAAAAACTAGGTATTAAAGGAACATACCTCAAAAGAATAAGAGCCATCTATGACAAAACCACAGATAATATCCTATTCAATGGACAAAAGCTGGAAGGATTCCTCTCGAAAATTGGCACAACAAAAGAATGTGCTCTCACACCACTCTTATTCAACACAGAATTAGAAGTTCTGCTCAGAGCAATTAGGCAATAGAAAGAGAAATAAAGGGCATCAAATAGGAAGAGAAGAAGTCAAACTATTCCTGTTTGTAGATGACATAAGCCTATATCTAGAAAACCCCATAGTCTCAGCCCAAAAGCTTCTTAAGCTAATAAACAACTTCAGCAAAGTCTCAGAATTAAAAATCTATATATATATAGCCTCCCTATAGGTCAATAACAGTTAAGCCAAGAGCCAAATTAGAAATGCAATCTCATTCATGACTGCCACACACAAAAGACTGCCTGGAAATACAGCTAACAAGGGAAGCAAAAAGTATCTACAGGAAGAACTAAAAACACTGCTCGAAGAAATCCGAGATGACACAAACAAATAAAAACATTTCATGCTCATGGATAGGAAGAAGCAATACCATTAAATTGGCCATATTGTCCAAAGAAATTTGTAGATTTGACCCTATTCCAATTAAACTACCAATGACATTTTTTAGAGAACTAGAAAAAGCTACTTTACAATTATTTAGTATGAAACTAAAATGGAGCATGAATAGCCAAGAAAATTCTAAACAAAAAGAACAAGGCTGAAGGCATCACCCTACCTGACTTCAGACTATGTTACACGATTACAGTAACCAAAAAGACATGGTACTGGTACAAAAACAGACACATCGACACAAGGAACTGAATAGAGATCACAGAAATAAGGATGCACACTTACAACTTTCTGATCTTCAACAAAGCTGGCAAATATAAGCAATAAAGAAAAGACTTTCTATTCAATAAATGGTGCTGGAATAACTGGCTACCCATATGCAGAAGATGAAACTGGACCCCTTTCTTACACCATATACAAAAGCCAATTCAAGGTGGATTAAAGATTTAAATGTAAAACCCAAAACTATAAAACCCTGTAAGACAACCTAGGCAATATCCTTATGGTCGCGGGAATGAAAAAATATTCCATGACAAAGATGCCAAAAGCAATTGCAACAAAAGCAAAAATTGACAAATGGGATCTAATTAAACTGAAGACATTCTGCACAGCAAAGGAAAGTAGCAACAGAGTGAACAGACAATCTACTACAGAATAGGAGAAAATTTTTGCAAACTATGCATCTGACAATGGTCTAAAAGCCAACATCTATAGGGAACGTAAACAAATTTACAAGAAAAAAACCCATTAAAGAGTGGATAAAGAACATGAACAAACACTTTTCAAAAAAAAAAAAAAAGACATGCATGTGGCCTATAGCATATAAAGAAGCACAACATCACTAGTCATTAGATAAATGAAAATCAAAATTATGAGATACCATCTCACACCGGTCAGAATGACTACTATTAAAAAGTTAAAAAAAAAAAAAACAGATCATGAGGCTTCAGAGAATGAGAAACACTTATACACTCTTTGTGAAAGTGCAAATTAGTTCAACTATTGTGGAAGACAGCATGGCAATCCCCCAAAGACCTAAAAGCAGAAATACCATTTGAGCCAGCAACCCCATTACTTGCTATAAACCCAAAGGAATATAAATCATTCTATCATAAAGACACATGCACATGTGTGATCACTGCAGGACTATTTACAATATCAAATACATGGAATCAACCTAAATGACCATCAATGGTAGAATGGATAAAAAATTTTTGGTACATATACATGATAGAGTAGTATGCAGCTATAAAAAATGAGATCATGTCCTTTGCGAAAACAAGGATGAAGCTGGAGGCCATTATCCTTAGCAAACTAATGCGTATAAAGAAAACCAAATACAGCTTGTTCTCACTAATAAGTGGGAGCTAAATGAAGAGAACACATGGAAACATGGAGAGAAGCAACCTACACAGGGGCCTATTAGAAAGTAAAGGGTGGAAGGAGAGAGAGGATCAGAAAAAAGTAATTAATAGATACTAGGCTTAATACCTGGGTGATGAAATAGTCTGCACAACAAACTTCCATGACACAAGTTTACCTAAATAACAAACCTGCACATGCACCTCTGCAATTTTTTAAAAAGTTAAATAAAAACAAAAAGTACAAAAGAAGAACTTTTGAAACAAATGTTAATGGAAACCAAACATATCAAAATCAATGGTATACCACAAAAGTAGTACAAAGAGGGAAGTTTATAGGTGTAAGTGCCTACATTAAAAAAGGAGGACAAACCTCAAAATAAACAATCTGACAGTGTGTCTTAAAGTACTAGAAGAGCAAGCGCCAACCAAACCCAAAATTAGAAGAAAAGAAATAATAAAAATCAGAGCAGAAATAAATGAATTTGAAATAAAAAACAATACAAAAGATCAATGAAATAAAAAGGTTGTTTTTTGAAAAGTTTAACAAAGTTGACAAACTAGCCAGACTAAACAAGAAAAAAAGAGAGAAGAACCAATAAATAAAATCAGAGATGAAAAAGTAGACATTACAACTGTTATTGCAGAAATTCAAAGGACCATTACTGGCTACTGTGTGAAACTATATGGCAATAAACTAGAAAATCTGGAAGACATGGACAAATTCCTAGATACAAAAAACCTGCCAATATTGAACCAGAAAGAAATCCAAAACCTGAACAGACCAATAACAAGTAATGAGATTGAAGCCATAACAAAAATCTTCAAGTAAATAAAAGCCCAGGATCTGATGGCTTCATTGCTAAATTCTACCAAACATTTAAAGAATAACTAATACCAATCCTACAAACGCTATTCTAAAAAATAAAGGAGGGAATACTTTCAAACTAATTCTATGAGTCTAGTGTTACTATGATACAAAAGCCAGAAAAACACACCAAGAAGAAAACCCTGCAGGTCAAAATCTCATGAATATTCATGGAAAAAACCTCAAGAAAATACTAGAAAACTGAATTAAACAATACACTAGAAAGATTATTGATCATAATCAAGTGGGATTTATCCCTTAGATGCAAGGATTGTTTAATATACACAGATCAATCAGTGTAATAGAGCATATCACAGAATACATGATAAGAACCATATGATCATTTCAATTGATGCTGGAGAAGCATTCGATAAATTTCAACATCCTTTCATGACAAAAACCATCAAAAAACTGGGTATAAAAGGAACATACCTCAATATAAAATCCATATATGACAGACCCACTTCAAGTATCATACTGAATGGGGAAAAACTAGAAGCCTTTGCTCTAAGATCTGGAACACAACAAAGATGTCAACTGTTACTATTGTTATTTCAATATAGTATTGAAAATCTTGGCTAGAACAATCAAAAAACAGATATTGCATCCATCAAAATTGGAATGGAAGAAGTCAAATTATCATTGTTTGCAAATGGTATAATCTATATTAGAAAAAAACCTAAAGACTCCACAAAAAAACTATTGGACATGACAAACAAATTAAGTAAAGTTGCAGGATAGAAAATTAGCATACAAAAATCAGTAGCATTTCTATATGCCAACAGTGAAAAATGTAAAAAAAAAATGTTTAAAAAGTAATTCTATTTACAATGGCCACACATAAAAGTATCTGGTAATTAATCAAGTAAGTGAAATATCTCTATAATAAAAAACATAAATCAGTGATAAAAAAATTGAATAGGACACCTAAAAATGGAAAACTATGCTATGATTGTGAATTGGAAGAATAAATATTGTTAAAATGTTTATATTACCCAAAGCAATCTATAGATTCAATGCAATTCTTATAAAAATATCAATGACATTCTTCACAAAAATAGAAAAAGCTATCCTAAAATGTATAGGGAAACACAAAAGACCCAGAGCAGACAGAGTTATCTGATGCAAAAATAACAAAACTGGAGAAATCAAATTACCTGATTTCAAATTATACTACAGAGGTATAGTAACCAAAACAGCATGGTACTGGCATAAAAAAGACACATAGACCAATAAAACAGAATAGAGAACCCAGAAAGGGATCCATATACCAAGAACATACACTGCGGAGAGGAGGGTCTCTTCAATATAGGGTGCTAGAAAAAACTGTATATCCTCATACAGAAGAATAAAACTACTCCTCCATCTCTCACCATACACAAAAATAAAATCAAAATAGATTGAAAACTTAAATATGAGACCTCAAATCATGAAACTACTATGGGGAAACTTAGGGAAAAATCTTAAGGACATTGGTTGGGTCAAAAATTTCTTGAGCCATAATCCGCAAGCACAGGCACCCAAAGCAAAAATTGAAAAGTGGGATCACATTAAGTTAAAAAGCTTCTGTACGGCAAAGGATACAATCAACAAAGTGAAGAAATAACCCACAGAATAGGAGAAAATATTTGCACACTACTCATTTGACAAAGGATTAATAACCAGAATATATGAAGAGCTCCCACAACGATATAGGAAAAAAAGTCAAATAATATCATCAAAATTGGGCAAATAATTTGCACAGACATTTCTTCAAAGAAGACATACAAACGGCAACCAGGCATATGAAAATGTGCTTAACATCATTGATCATCAAAGAAATGCAAATCAAAACTGCAAAGAGATAGCATCTTACCCCAATTAAAATGGCTTACATGCAAAAGGCAGGTTATAACAAATGCTAGCAAGGATGTGGAGAAAGGGCCACCCTTGTACACTGTTGATGGGAGTGTAAATTAGTACAACTACTATGCAGAACATCTTGGAAGTTCTACAGAAAACTAAAAATCCATATAATCTGGGTACCAATGCAGCTACCATATAATCAAGCATAGTGCTACCCAGCACTCCCACTGCTGGGTATGTACCCAAAAGAATGGAAATCAGTATATTGAAGAGATATCTGACCTTCTGTGTTTGTTGCAGCACTGTTTACAATAGCTAATATTTGGAAACAATCTAAATGTCCATCAACAGATGAATGGATAAAGAAAATATGGTCCATATATACAATTGGAGTACTATTCAGCCATAAAAATCATAAAATCCAGTTACTACAATAACATGGATGAAACTGGAGATTATAATATTAAGTAAAATAAGACAGGCTCAGAAAGACAAACATTGCATGTTCTCAATTATTTGTGGAATTTAAAAATCGAAACAATTAAACTCTTGGACATAGTTGAAGGATGGTTACTAGAGACTGGGAAAGGTAGTGTGGTTCTGAGGGAAAGGTAGCGGTGGTTAACTGGTACAAAAAAATAGAAAGAATTTATAAGACCTGCTATTTGATAACACAACTGGATAACAATAGTCAATAATAACAATACATTTTGAAATAATTTAAAGAGTGTAATTGGATTGTTTGTAACTCAAAAAATAAATACTTGAGGAGATGGATACCACATTCTCCATAATGTGCTTATTTCACATTGCATACCTGTATCAAAACATCTCATATACTCCATAAACACATACACCTACTATGTACCCATAACAACTAAAACTGAAAATAACAAATAAAAAGAATAGGAAGAGACACCATAGACATCTCTCTTTCTCCATGCACACACAAAAAGAAAGGCGATGTGAGGACACAGTAAGGAGGCAGCCATTCACAAGCCAGGAATAGAAGCCTCAGCAGAAACCAACACTGCTGACACCATAATCTTGAACTTGTAGCCTCCATAACTTTGACAAAATAAATTTCTGTTGTTTATGTCGCACAATCTGTGGTATCTTGTTATAGCATGGCCAAGCTCATTAATACACAATCTCAAGTTGTTTTTATGCAGATGACTTGGACTATAAGAAACACTTCACTAGATAAAGGGCTTATAGCTGGTTACTAATTTCAGACTCCATAAAGAGCTTTCTAAATATAGTTCTGAGATTATTGAAGGTTTTTTCAACATGAAATAAATCCAAACCTATAATTAGAAGTTATTAAGTCTCTGCTTCTAAATAAGGCTGATGTGCTAGATGCTGGTGATACAACTAAGAATGAAATTCATAATATTTAATAAGCATTATCTACCAACAACTCATAACAGATTTCTGACCAATCAGAAGATATCTCAGATACTATGTTGCACTGGTGCATTTAAACCTAACGTTAGGGCTAAATACTACCATGAAACATACAGGCACAATACCTGTTCTCCAAGAACTTAACTCTAGAGAGGCATATAGAAAAGAAAGTAAGGAAATAGGTGATAACTATAGAAAGTAATAAGTACTATCACAAGTAAAGACAGAATGCTATGACAACACATAGGAATGCCCAATGAAAAATTAGGGGGGTGATATGAAGGGCATTCTGGGTTAAGTAACTTCTAAATTAAGAGCTATAAATCCACAAGTAAGATTTAGGTAACAACATATGTATGAGTATGTTGAACATAGAGATTGAGGAGTGTTTCTACAAAGAAAGGGAAACAGATGTGCAAAAGCCAGGAGGTAAAAGGGTTCAGGAAATATTTGGGCTTTTGAAAACAGTTAAGTATGCCAGAAGTATTCAATATAAGTAGATTAGTGAAAGAAGTTGAGGCTGGATTTTTTTAAACAGATCATTCATTGTCTTAGTCCGGTTTTACACTGCTATAAAGAACTTCCCTGAGACTGAGCCATTTATAAAGGAAAGAGGTTTAGTTAGTTGACTCACAGTTCCGCATGGCTGGGGAGGCCTCAGGAAACTGACAATCGTGGCAGAAGGGGAAGCAGGCACTTTCTTCATAAGTTGACAGAAAAGAAAAGAGTGAAGAAGGAACTTTCAAACACTTAAAAAATTATCAGATATCATGAGAACTCACCCACTATTATGAGAAAAACACGGGCAAAACACCCACCCTGATCCAATCACCTCCCTCTTTGGACACATGGGAATTGTAGGTCCCTCCCTTGACATACAGGGAAAACAATTCGAGATGAGATTTGACTGAGGACACAGAGCCAAACCATATCAATCATGTAAGGTCATGTTGTAGGTCATACTGGGTAGTTTTGCTTGTATTGTAAGTGCAATAGGAAATAACCAGTGAGTGAATGGCATAATCAAATTTTGTTTTGGGAAGATAATTTTTCTGCAGTGTGGATTAGAGTGGATCAGAACAGGGAAAATCTAGAGACTACATTATCAGTTAGGAAACTGTTAAAAATCTAAGGATTTTATATTAGTCTGAACTAGAATAGTGGCAGTAAGGATAGAGAAAATTGATAGGTTCAGAAGATATTTAAGTAGGATAAGCTTTAGGAAGTAATTATTGGTATCAGAGTGGGTTGATAAGAGATAAGAAATTAGACAGTGCCTGGTTTTCCGATTTGAACAGGATGGGTGATAAGGCCATTGTCTGAGATAGAAACCCGAAGATAAAAAGATGTGAACAAGAGCAAAAGGGAAAGATAATGAATTTAGTTTGAGATATATGAGCTTTAAGTGACTGTGATTTATAAAAACAAATATATTCATCAGAAAGTTAAATATAGGAACCTGGAACTCAAGAGAAAGGATTGAACTGAAAATACAGGTGTAGATAGCATCAGTATATTGGATTAATAAAACCTGTGGAAGTGGCAGCAATTACCATCCTAAAACAATATTTAGAGAAGTTGTTCTTAATAATGTGTGGGTTATGAATCCTTTTTATGAAAACAATGGAATTCTCTCCCAAAAAATACATCTATGCAAATACATATATTTCAACTTGCTGACACCTGTATGGAATTTCTGAAACTCTGTACATGTTGGGAATTTGTGGAACCAAGCATAAGACCTCCTGATGTCAAGAGAAAAGAGAAGAGGTCCTAGAGTACAATTATAAAGCACAACATTTGGTGTTTAGAATTTCTTATAAAAATGTTAAGAATTAGCCAGTAATATTCAATTGTGGACTATATGGGATCTTACATTTGAGTAAAATGCCACTATAATCCTATTTAAACATTTTTAATTTATTTGACTGTCACAATCAAAGTTCAGAGGAAAAAAATGGAGAGATTTATGTTTATGTCCAGTTTAAGTCCAAAATATAAATATTATTTTTAACATGTATAGAATAATTAAAATGTATATTTTAATTTCCATGAGAACTACCTTCTTGTTAATCTCTGGCCTCAACCTGCTCTGTTCCAGCCTGTTGGATATTTTCTTTGAGATGTTTCCTTCTATCCAACCAACTCCCCAAATTCAGGTGTAAGCTTCATAAACTTGGAAATATGCAGGTGGCCTTTGAATTCTTGGCCCAAGAATACTAAATAAATTAAAAATCTCAGACAGTACCCATTATCAAATTGATTAAGCCAACTTATATGCAATGGCCTTGACCTTTGAATGAACATGAAAAATGAAAATTCTGAATATAAAAAATATCATCTGTGAGAAAAAAGGGTACATTATAAATATGTCTTGGTGGATATAACTTTCTAAATTATAACTCTGGTAGTTTGCATGTGCAGTTAAATTTTTATGTGAAAATATTTTACTAGTATTACCAGGATAATTAAAAATGGCAAATTTTTGCATAAAGTTAATACCAAATGCCAAAAGACTAGAAAAGCTTAGATGGCACAAAAGTATAATAGGAATGGAAACCCCATGCATTTAAAACCTAGTGTTAATTTTGTAACATATATTGACTATTCCAGCATATTAAGTGGGCTGGGAAATCCATAGCAAGTTAACTCAGCATATTAGAGGTCAATACAAATAAGGTAATAGTCCAGGACTCCCTTATCATGTAATTAGCGATCTTTTGTCTCATGTTCACAGAAATGTCTCCAATAGTGGCTAGCTAACATATAGACACTCACAAAAGGAAACGGAATAATGATTTGAGTCAAACTTGCCACTGGTACTCCAAAAGCTACAATGCTCTAATGAAAATTGGTTAGTAGTGAGATAATTTATATACCAGTAGTCAGCAAGAATGACTCTCTGTTGTCTATTTATGTGCTCTTAAATGAGCAATCTAGTTATTATGGGACTGTACATTTTTTAAAAATAGGTCCAAAAGCCTTTTCCTCTAGAGTTTGTCACTTACCATATTTCCCTTGTATTTTCTCAGACTGTATGTTAGTTATAATATCATCACCTTCAAGTATCTGAAAATCTTGACTCAAACAGCCTCATTCAATAAGGGAATTTGTTATGCTACACAGCAAGGAGTTTTGTGGTAAAGTATGTTTTAGAGTTGGTCAATTGAGCAGATCACCAATGTCATCAAAAACCTAGTTTCTATCTCTATATTCTGTTACTTTACTTGTTTTTCTTTGCCTTTAGTCTGGCTTTATTCGTGGTTGCAAGATGGTCACTGCATGAGTGTCAAGGATTGCAAACAGATATAAAGATTTCTACTAGATGAAATTAAACTGCCTTTTCTGAAATGAGAAAAATTTTCCTGGAAACCATCCCTCACATTTCATTTGCATTAACTGAATGATATGCTTACCCCTAAATTAATTAACAGCAAAATAACCTGAACAAGGACTTAATGCAACAATGATTTAGACTTAGAGCTCCAGATATGGTTTGATTATCCTATGTTATATGGAGGAAGGATGGGTGATAAAGTTTGAATGTTAGTCCCTTCCCAAATCTCATGTTCAGTTGTAATTCCCAATATTGGATGTGTGGGACCTGGTGGGAGATGTTTTGGTCATGGTTGCAGATCCCTCATGAAAGGCATGATCCTTCTCCTTGGTGATAAGTGAGCTCTTGCTCTGAGTTTGCACAGGATCTCGCATTTAAAAGTGTGTGGCACCTTGTTCCACACTCTCTCTCTTGGTTTTGCTTTTTCCATATGAAGTACCTGCTCGTGCTTCACCTTCTGCCCTGGTTGGAAGTTTCTTGAAGCCTCATTCAGAAGCAGATTCTGTTATGATTTCTGTGCCACCTACAGAACCATGAATCAATTAAATCTATTTTCTTATAAATTACTTAGTCTCAGATATTTCTTTATAGCAATGCAAGAATGCTATAAATATGGAAATATAGAAAATTTGGAAATACTATATGGAAAATTGATACCAAATAGTGGGGCATTGCTATAAAGATATATGAGAATGTGGGTGTGACATTAGAACTGGGTAACAAGCAGAAGTTAGAAGAGTTTGGAGGGCTCAGAAGAAGACAGGAAGATGAGGGAAAATGGAATTTCTTATAGACTGGTTAAAAAGTTGTAACAAAAATGCGTTAATTTTTAATGCAAGTTTGTACTTGAGATGGATGAGACCTAGGGTATCTGGTGGAAAAAAATTCTAAGCAGCAAAGCATTCTGCTTTGCTTCTTCTAACAACCTATTCTCAGATGTGGGAGTAAAGAAATGTCTTAAAGCTGGAACTTATATTTAAAATAGAAGTACAGTATATAAGTTTTGTTTGTTTGTTTGTTTTTGAGATGGAATTTCACTCTTGTTGCCCAGGCTGGAGTGAAATGGTGTGATCTCAGCTCACTGCAACCTCCACTTCCCGGGTTCAAATGATTCTCCTGCCTCAGCCTCCTGAGTAGCTGGGATTACAGGTATGCACCACCATGCCCAGCTAATTTTGTATTTTTAGTAGTGATGGGGTTTCTCTATGTTGGTCAGGCTGGTCTCAAACTCCCAACCTCAGGTGATACACCCATCTCAGCCTCCCAAAGTGCTAGGATTACAGGCGTGAGCCACCACGCCTGGTCCACCATATAAGTTTGAAAAGTATGCACCTTGGCCCCTGGCCATGTGGAAAAAAAAAATCTCATTTTCAGGAAAAGAGTCCAAACAGGCTGTGCAGCAACCACTTGCTAGAAAAATTTGGGTGACTAAAAGGGAGCCAAGTGTTGATAGCCAACACAATGGGGGAAAAGGCCTAGAAAGCATTTCAGAGAACTTCGCAGCCCCTCTCATTACTGGCACAGAGACCTATGAGGAAAGAATGGTTTTGTTGTCCAGGTCCAGGGTCCTACTCATTTGTGCAGCCTCATAACACTGCTTCCCACATCTCACCTACTCTAGCCATAGCTCAAAGGGGCCCAGGTACAGCTCAGGCTGCCACTTTGAAGAATGCTTCTTTGTGGTGTCAAGCCTGTACATGTGCATAATGCAAAGGTGAAGAATGCATGGTAGCCTCTACCTAGATTTCATAGGATGTTTAGAAAATCCTGGGTGCCCATGCAGAAGCTTGCTGCAGGGGTGGAGCCCCCAGAGAGAACCACTCCTAGGGCAGCCTGAAGGGGAAATGTTTTGTTGGAGCCCCTTCACAAAGTCCCCACTGGGACAGTGCCTAGTGGAGCTGTGAGAAGGGGGCCACTGTTCTCCAGACTCAAGAATGATAGAGCCATTGGCAGCTTTCATTGTGCCTGGAAAACCTGTAGGCACTCAACAACCACAAAGCCACAGGGGTAGAGTTGCCCAAGGCCTTGGGAGCCCACCTCTCAATTGTGTGGGGCCTGTAGCCCCTTTTCTTTGGCTGATTTCTACCTTTTGGATGACAATGTTTTTCTAATGCCTATACCACCATTGTATCTCAGAAGTGACTAAATTGTTTTTGGTTTTACAGGCTCATAGATAGAAGGTATTTGCTTTGTCTCAGATGAGACTTAGTACTTTTGAGTTAATGTTTGAAGGAATTAAGACTATCAAGGACTGTTGGAAATGTAAAATTCTATTTTGCAATATGAGAAAGACATGATATTTTAGAGGAACCAGAGGCAGAATGATATAATTTGGATATTTGTCCCCACTCAAATCCCATGTGGAATTGTAATCCTCAGTGTTGAAGATACGGTCTTTTAGGAGGTGTTTGGATCATGGAGGTGGATCTCTCAGGAATGGCTTGGGCCATCTCTTTGGTGATAAGTGAGCTCTCACTTTGAGTTCAAACGTGATCTGGTGATTTAACAGTGCGTGACATCTCTGCCTCTCTCTCTCTCTCTCTCTCACACACACACACACACATTCTTGCTTTTGCCATGTGAAGTGCCTGTTCCTGCTTAGCTTTCCACCATGATTGGCAGCTTCATGAAACCTTTCAAAAAGCAGATGCCACTACGCTTGCTGTACAGCCTGCAGAACTAGGAGCCAATTAAATATTTTTTCTTACAAATTATGTAGTTTCAGGTATTTATTTATAGCAGTGTAAGAATGGCCTAATACAATGGACAACAGAACAAAATGATAGCCCTTCCAGTAGAAATAAATAGAGAAATGGATACTGGTAAGGAACCAATTACATGTACTATGAACTTTAAGCTCCATAAAGATCATTTTTAATGTTAAATTATTAGCATCTAGTATAATGTCTGTCATAAAGTAGATTCTCAATAAATACTTTTTGAATCAATGACCAAATATACCTGAGGAGCAACTAACTCTGAATGATGAAGAAAGAAAAGGCTTCAAAAAGAAAGACATCTTAGATGTGGTTCTGATTTTAAAAAATGGTATAAAAAATGGAAAGAGAAGAAGGTTATTTTATATGAAATGAAAGACACTGGAAAAAAAACAGTCATAAGCTGGCATAGACAGTTGAAACAGTTACTGCTACTTTCTTTAAAAATGTAGCAGAAAACACCATTAACAATGGCTTAAATTATAGGAACGTTATTGTTTTATTAATGAGATTTCCGGAAAGTTTATGATTGATTTAGTGGATTAGCAGTACCATCCAGCTCTTTTAGTTTTTCTGCTGAGTTGTCTTAACATTGGCAATAGGTCCCCTGATTTGGCCACAATGGCTGCTGCACTTTCAAGTATCATGTCATCATATTAAAATGCACAATGCAGAAAGAAAGCCTATTTTCTTTGTGGTAAAAGCCCATTCATGGACTTTCAGTGTCCATTTAAAGAAAAACACTAGACTCCACCCAGAAGTATTGTTCTTATTTATCATTTGCGCGAACTAGGTCAGGTGGGCACATTTAGCTTCAAGGAGGACTTAGAAAGTGTGTACATGGCATTCTTAGCTTCTACAGTGATGACAGGCAAGGAATCAACAGGCAGAAAAAAAAATGTGGAGTAGGTAATTATATTAGTCTATTTGGTGCTGCTATAAAGGAATACCCAAGGCTGGGTAATTTTTAGAAAATAAATTTGTTTGGTTCATGGTTCTACAGGCTGTTCAAAAAGAATGGCACCAGCATCTGCTTTTGGTGAGGGCTTCTGGAAGCTTACAATTACACTGGAAAGCATGCATGCATGTCACATGATGAGACAGGGAACAAAAGGGAAGGGGAAGAGTGCCAGACTCTTCTTAATAACCAACTCTTGGCTCACGCCTGTAATCCCAGCACTTTGGGAGGCTGAGGCAGGCGGATCACGAGGTCAGGAGGTCGAGACCATCCTGGCTAACATGGTGAAACCCCGTCTCTATGAAGAATACAAAAAATTAGCCTGGCGTGGTGGCCGGCGCCTTTAGTCCCAGCTACTCGGGAGGCTGAGGCAAGAGAATGGCCTTAACCCGGGAGGCGGAGCTTGCAGTGAGCCGAGATTGCGCCCCTGCACCACAGCCTGGGCGACAGCGCAAGAAGACTCTGTCTCAAAAAAAAAAAACAAAAAAAAAAACCCAACTCTTGCATTAACTAATAGAGTGAGAACTCACTGATTATGATGCAGAAGGCACCAGGGCATTCATGAAAGATACGTGTACATGACCTAAATATCTCCCACTAGACCGCACCTCTAACATTGGGGGTAAATTCAATCTTAAAGCTCCAAAATAATTCTTGACACTGTTTCCCATATGCTGGGCACACTGTTGTGAGGGGCGTTCTCCAAAGACCTTGGGCAGCTTTGCCCTCATGGCTCTGTTGGGTGTAGCCCACGTGGTTGCTCTCAAGCATTGGAGTACAATGCTTGCAGCTTTTCCCGGCTGAGGGTGCATGCTGCCGATTGCTGTAAAATTCTGGGAACTGAAAGGTGGTAGCCCCATTCCCACATCTCTATTAGGCAGTGCTTCATTGGGAACTCTGTATGGGGGCTCCAATCCCACATTTTTTCCTTAGCACTGTCCTAGTAGAGCTTCTCTGTAAAGGTTTTTTTCCTGTGGCAGGCTTCTGCCTGGGGGTACTCAGGCTTTCCAATACATCCTCTAAAATCTAGGTGGAAGCCACCAAACCTTCTTTACAATCGCATTCTGTGTGCCTGCAAACTTAACACCAAGTGAAATTCACAAAGCCTACAGTTTGCACCCTCCGGAGTGGCAGCCCAGGATATACCTGCAGTCCTTCAAGCCTTGGCTGGAGCTGGAGTAGCTGGGATGCAGGGAGCAGAATCCTGAGGTGGCATAGGTTAACGGCACCCTGTTTATGACCCCCCGAAATGAATCTGTCCTTTTAGGCCTCTGGGCCTTCATGGGAGGAAAATCCTGGAAGGTTTTTGGAAAAGATTTCAAGGCCTTCTCCCTACTGTATTCAATATTAGCATCTGGCTCACTTTTAGTCATGCTAATCTCTCTCATAAGAGGTTACCCTGCCTCCCCCTTGTATTTGAAAAGACTATTTTCTTCCCTACTACACAGCCAGACTGGAAAATTTTTGAACTTTTATGCCCTGCTTTACTTTTAAATATAAGTTCCACCTTTAAGTCATTCTTTTGCTCACCTTTCTATTCCTAGGCCATCAAAAGCAGCCAAACCATTTCTTGAATGCTTTGCTGCTTAGAAATTCCTTCCTCCATTTCCTTGTCTGTAAAGTATTTTATTTCTCCTTCACTTATGAAGCTTAGTTTGGCTGGATATGAAATTCTGGGTTGAAAATTCTTTTCTTTAAGAATGTTGAATATTGGCCCCCACTCTCTTCTGGCTTGTAGGGTTTCTGCTGAGAGATCCGCTGTTAGTCTGATGGGCTTCCCTTTGAGGGTAACCCGACCTTTCTCTCTGGCTGCCCTTAACATTTTTTCCTTCATTTCAACTTTGGTGAATCTGACAATTATGTGTCTTGGAGTTGCTCTTCTCGAGGAGTATCTTTGTGGCGTTCTCTGTATTTCCTGAATCTGAACGTTGGCCTGCCTTGCTAGATTGGGGAAATTCTCCTGGATAATATCCTGCAGAGTGTTTTCCAACTTGGTTCCATTCTCCCCATCACTTTCAGGTACACCAATCAGACATAGATTTGGTCTTTTCACATAGTCCCATATTTCTTGGAGGCTTTGCTCGTTTCTTTTTATTCTTTTTTCTCTAAACTTCCCTTCTCGCTTCATTTCATTCATTTCCTCTTCCATTGCTGATACCCTTTCTTCCAGTTGATCGCATCAGCTCCTGAGGCTTCTGCATTCTTCACGTAGTTCTCGAGCCTTGGTTTTCAGCTCCATCTGCTCCTTTAAGCACTTCTCTGTATTGGTTATTCTAGTTATACATTCTTCTAAACTTTTTTCAAAGTTTTCAACTTCTTTGCCTTTGGTTTGAATGTCCTCCCGTAGCTCAGAGTAATTTGATCGTCTGAAGCCTTCTTCTCTCAGCTCATCAAAGTCATTCTCCGTCCAGCTTTGTTCCGTTGCTGGTGAGGAACTGCATTCCTTTGGAGGAGGAGAGGCGCTCTGCTTTTTAGAGTTTCCAGTTTTTCTGTTCTGTTTTTTCCCCATCTTTGTGGTTTTATCTACTTTTGGTCTTTGATGATGGTGATGTACAGATGGGTTTTTGGTGTGGATGTCCTTTCTGTTTGTTAGTTTTCCTTCTAACAGACAGGACCCTCAGCTGCAGGTCTGTTGGAATACCCTGCCGTGTGAGGTGTCAGTGTGCCCCTGCAGGGGGGTGCCACCCAGTTAGGCTGCTCGGGGGTCAGGGGTCAGGGACCCACTTGAGGAGGCAGTCTGCCCGTTCTCAGATCTCCAGCTGCATGCTGGGAGAACCACTGCTCTCTTCAAAGCTGTCAGACAGGGACATTTAAGTCTGCAGAGGTTACTGCTGTCTTTTTGTTTGTCTGTGCCCTGCCCCCAGAGGTGGAGCCTACAGAGGCAGGCAGGCCTCCTTGAGCGGTGGTGGGCTCCACCTAGTTCGAGCTTCCAGGCTGCTTTGTTTACCTAAGCAAGCCTGGGCAATGGTGGGCGCCCCTCCCCAAGCCTCGCTGCCTCCTTGCAGTTTGATCTCAGACTGCTGTGCTAGCAATCAGTGAGACTCCGTGGGTGTAGGACCCTCCGAGCCAGGTGCGGTATATAATCTCGTGGTGCACCATTTTTTAAGCCCGTCGGAAAAGCGCAGTATTCAGGTGGGAGTGACCCGATTTTCCAGGTGCCATCTGTCACCCCTTTCTTTGACTCGGAAAGGGAACTCCCTGACCCCTTGCGCTTCCCGAGTGAGGCAATGCTTCGCCCTGCTTCGGCTAGCGCACGGTGCACGCACCCACTGACCTGCGCCCACTGTCTGGCACTCCCTAGTGAGATGAACCCGGTACCTCAGATGGAAATGCAGAAATCACCCATCTTCTGCGTCGCTCACACTGGGAGCTGTAGACCAGAGCTGTTCCTATTCGGCCATCTTGGCTCCTCCCTGCTGAGAGATTTTGTCACCACCAGGCCTGCCCTAAAAGAGCTCCTGAAGGAAGCGCTAAACATGGAAAGGAACAACCAGTACCAGCCACTGCAAAATCATGCCAAAATGTAAAGACCATCGAGACTAGGAAGAAACTGCATCAACTAACGAGCAAAATAACCAGCTAACATCATAATGACAGGATCAAATTCACACAAAACAATATTAACTTTAAATGTAAATGGACTAAATGCTCCAATTAAAAGACACAGACTGGCAAATTGGATAAAGAGTCAAGACCCATCAGTGTGCTGTATTCAGGAAACCCATCTCATGTGCAGAGACACACATAGGCTCAAAATAAAAGGATGGAGGAAGATCTACCAAGCCAATGGAAAACAAAAAAAGGCAGGGGTTGCAATCCTAGTCTCTGATAAAACAGACTTTAAACCAACAAAGATCAAAAGAGACAAAGAAGGCCATTACATAATGTTAAAGGGATCAATTCAGCAAGAAGAGCTAACTATCCTAAATATATATGCACCCAATACAGGAGCACCCAGATTCATAAAGCAAGTCCTGAGTGACCTACAAAGAGACTTAGACTCCCACACATTAATAATGGGAGACTTTAACACCCCACTGTCAACATTAGACAGATCAACAAAACAGAAAGTCAATAAGGATACCCAGGAATTGAACTCAGCTCTGCACCAAGCGGACCTAATAGACATCTACAGAACTCTCCACCCCAAATCAACAGAATATACATTTTTTTCAGCACCACACCACACCTGTTCCAAAATTGACCACATACTTGGAAGTAAAGCTCTCCTCAGCAAATGTAAAAGAACAGAAATTATAACAAACTATCTCTCAGACCACAGTGCAATCAAACTAGAACTCAGGATTAAGAATCTCACTCAAAACCGCTCAACTACATGGAAACTGAACAACCTGCTCCTGAATGACTACTGGGTACATAACGAAATGAAGGCAGAAATAAAGATGCTCTTTGAAACCAACGAGAACAAATACACAACATACCAAAATCTCGGGGACACATTCAAAGCATTGTGTAGAGGGAAATTTATAGCACTAAATGCCCAGGAGAGAAAGCAGGAAAGATCCAAAATTGACACCCTAACATCACAATTAAAAGAACTAGAAAAGCAAGAGCTAACACATTCAAAAGCTAGCAGGAGGCAGGAAATAACTAAAATCAGAGCAGAACTGAAGGAAATAGAGACACAAAAAACCCCTCAAAAAATTAATGAATCCAGGAGCTGGTTTTTTGAAAGGATCAACAAAATTGATAGACCACTAGCAAGACTAATAAAGAAGAAAAGAGAGAAGAATCAAATAGACGCAATAAAAAATGATAAAGGGGATATCACCACCGATCCCACAGAAATACAAACTACCATCAGAGAATACTACAAACACCTCTATGCAAATAAACTAGAAAATCTAGAAGAAATGGATAAATTCCTCGACACATACACTCTCCCAAGACTAAACCAGGAAGAAGTTGAATCTCTGAATAGACCAATAACAGGAGCTGAAATTGTGGCAATAATCAATAGCTTACCAACCAAAAAGAGTCCAGGACCAGATGGATTCACAGCCGAATTCTACCAGAGGTACAAGGAGGAACTGGTACCATTCCTTCTGAAACTATTCCAATCAATAGAAAAAGAGGGAATCCTCCCTAACTCATTTTATGAGGCCAGCATCATTCTGATACCCAAGCCGGGCAGAGACACAACCGAAAAAGAGAATTTTAGACCAATATCCTTGATGAACATTGATGCAAAAATCCTTAACAAAATACTGGCAAACCAAATCCAGCAGCACATCAAAAAGCTTATCCACCATGATCAAGTGGGCTTCATCCCTGGGATGCAAGGCTGGTTCAATATATGCAAATCAATAAATGTAATCCAGCATATAAACAGAACCAAAGACAAAAGCCACATGATTATCTCAATAGATGCAGAAAAGGCCTTTGACAAAATTCAATAACCCTTCATGCTAAAAACTCTCAATAAATTAGGTATTGATGGGACGTATTTCAAAATAATAAGAGCTATCTGTGACAAACCCACAGCCAATATCATACTGAATGGGCAAAAACTGAAAGCATTCCCTTTGAAAACTGGCACAAGACAGGGATGCCCTCTCTCACCACTCCTATTCAACATAGTGTTGGAAGTTCTGGCCAGGGCAATTAGGCAGGAGAAGGAAATAAAGCGTATTCAATTAGGAAAAGAGGAAGTCAAATTGTCCCTGTTTGCAGACGACATGATTGTATATCTACAAAACGCCATTGTCTCAGCCCAAAATCTCCTTAAGCTGATAAGCAACTTCAGCAAAGTCTCAGGATACAAAATCAATGTACAAAAATCACAAGCATTCTTATACACCAACAACAGACAAACAGAGAGCCAAATCATGAGTGAATTCCCATTCATAATTGCTTCAAAGAGAATAAAATACCTAGGAATCCAACTTACAAGGGACGTGAAGGACCTCTTCAAGGAGAACTACAAACCACTGCTCAAGGAAATAAAAGAGGATACAAACAAATGGAAGAACATTCCATGCTCATGGGTAGGAAGAATCAATATCATGAAAATGGCCATACTGCCCAAGGTAATTTACAGATTCAATGCCATCCCCATCAAGCTACCAATGACTTTCTTCACAGAATTGGAAAAAACTACTTTAAAGTTCATATGGAACCAAAAAAGAGCCCACATCGCCAAGTCAATCCTAAGCCAAAAGAACAAAGCTGGAGGCATCACACTACCTGACTTCAAACTATACTACAAGGCTACAGTAACCAAAACAGCATGGTACTGGTATCAAAACAGAGATATAGATCAATGGAACAGAACAGAGCCCTCAGAAATAATGCCACATATCTACAACTATCTGATCTTTGACAAACCTGACAAAAACAAGCAATGGGGAAAGGATTCCCTATTTAATAAATGGTGCTGGGAAAATTGGCCAGCCATATGTAGAAAGCTGAAACTGGATCCCTTCCTTACACCTTATACAAAAATCAATTCAAGATGGATTAAAGACTTAAACGTTAAACCTAAAACCATAAAAACCCTAGAAGAAAACCTAGGCATTACCATTCAGGACATAGGCTTGGGCAAGGACTTCATGTCTAAAACACCAAAAGCAATGGCAACAAAAGCCAAAATTGACAAATGGGATCTAATTAAACTAAAGAGCTTCTGCACAGCAAAAGAAACTACCATCAGAGTGAACAGGCAACCCACAAAATGGGAGAAAATTTTTGCAACCTACTCATCTGACAAAGGGCTAATATCCAGAATCTACAATGAACTCAAACAAATTTACAAGAAAAAAACAAACGACCCCATCAAAAAGTGGGCAAAGGACATGAACAGACACTTCTCAAAAGAAGACATTTATGCAGCCAAAAAACACATGAAAAAATGCTCATTATCACTGGCCATCAGAGAAATGCAAATCAAAACCACAATGAGATACCATCTCACACCAGTTAGAATGGCAATCATTAAAAAGTCAGGAAACAACAGGTGCTGGAGAGGATGTGGAGAAATAGGAACACTTTTACACTGTTGGTGGGACTGTAAACTACTTCAACCATTGTGGAAGTCAGTGTGGCGATTCCTCAGGGATCTAGAACTAGAAATACCTTTTGACCCAGCCATCCCATTACTGGGTATATACCCAAAGGACTATAAATCATGCTGCTATAAAGACACATGGACACATATGTTTATTGCGGCATTATTCACAATACCAAAGACTTGGAACCAACCCAAATGTCCAACAATGATAGACTGGATTAAGAAAATGTGGCACATATACACCATGGAATACTATGCAGCCATAAAAAATGATGAGTTCATGTCCTTTGTAGGGACATGGATGAAATTGGAAATCATCATTCTCAGTAAACTATCACAAGAACAAAAAACCAAACACCGCATATTCTCACTCATAGGTGGGAATTGAACAATGAGATCACATGGACACAGGAAGGAGAACATCACACTCTGGGGACTGTTGTGGGGTGGGGGGAGGGGGGAGGGATAGCATTGGGAGATATACCTAATGCTAGATGACGAGTTTGTGGGTGCAGCGCACCAGCATGGCACATGTATACATATGTAACTAACCTGCACAATGTGCACATGTACCCTAAAACTTAAAGTATAATAAAAAAATAAATAAAAATAAAAATAAAATAAAATAAAATAAAAAGAAATTCCTTCCTCCATATACCCACATCATCCTTCTTAAGTTCAGCCTTCCAAAAAGTCTAGGACATGGACACAATTCAGCTAAATTTCTGCTAAGACATAACGAAGGTAATCTTTGCTCTAATTCCCTATAAGTTTCTTTTTTCCACCTGATACATCACCAGCCTGGTTTTTACCACCCATATTTTTATCAGCATTTAGGTTAAAACCACTTAAATAGTCTCTAATAAGTACAAAACTTTCTCTAAACTTTATATCTTCTACTTCTCCAAATCTTACTAACCTCTGTACATTACCCAGATTTGAATCTGCTTCCACAGGTTCAAGTGTCTTTTTAGCAACAGCCCGTTCCTGGTGCAAATTTCCTGTATTACTCCATTTTGTACTTCTATAAAGGAATGCCTCAGGCTGAGTAATTTGTATGAAAAACAAACTTACAGTTCTACAAGTTTTTCAAGAAGCATGACACTAGCATCTGCATCTGGTGAGAACTTCAGGGAGTTTAAAATTATAGCAGAAGATATAGAGGGAGCAGACATGTCACATGATGAGAGAAGGAATAAGAGAGAGAGGAAGTTATGCCAGATTCGTTTTAATAACCAGCTCTCACTTGAACTAATAGAGCAAGAACTCACATATAACCATGGAGATGTTACCAAACAATTCGTGAAGGATCTACTTCCATGACAAAATCACCTTCTGGCAGACC
This sequence comes from Homo sapiens, assembly GCF_000001405.40. Classification (NCBI taxonomy): domain Eukaryota; kingdom Metazoa; phylum Chordata; class Mammalia; order Primates; family Hominidae; genus Homo; species Homo sapiens. The sequence goes on from NC_000023.11 coordinate 83,844,822, forward strand.
CCACCTCCAACATTGTGGGCCACATTTCAAATGATATTTGGAAGAGACAAATATTCAAACAACATGAGCAATCAAGAGGACCTATCAAGACATGTTTCAGTTGTCAAGAGTAATAAGGACCTGAGGAAAATGGCAGAGAGTGGTTGAAAATTTTTCTTGATTCACATGTTTACCTACTAAAATATGGGAGTTTAATGTGTAGTATTGATCTTCAGACAGATAAATAAAAGAAGCAAACATAACCTCTCTAGTACTCTGATTTATTAAGCTTTTTAAATTTCTTCATTTGAGTCATTAAAACATATATCTAATTAACTTTGTCACTGATCTTCAGTTATTTCCTCAAATTTTAGGCACTATTTACTTGTTATGGGTTTTACATATAAACACAAAATTTAGTAAAGTCTTAGAGTTCTCTGATAAGCTTTAGGAAGCTTCTCTTGTTTTTAAATTACAAGATCTTATGATTCTCTGATTTACAATTGTATCCGTGCATGTGCTCATAGCACATATTTTACCATAAGAAGTTCTGAGAACATGTTTTAAATAAAAGATTCTAAGAAATACTACACAGGATCAAACTAATTGCAGCACAATAACTACTACCTCTAGGCAGACATGCCCAGTGTGCTCCCAACCATATTGGTCCCCAGACCACCACGGTTAATCAGGGAGCACAGACCAGTGTGCATTTCACAAATCAGCCTATTGTTTAAACAAAGACCAGGAACACATCCAGCCATGTCTGGTGCAGCAGGCTCTTACCTATTAGCACCATCTACTGGTTGGTAGGTGAAATGGCATAGCCCAATATAAAATGCACTGACAGAAGTGCACAGGGCTATGGAAGCAAAGCCAATGCGGACCCTAGTCAGCATTCTATAAAGTCATATCCCCTAGGTACAGGAGGAAAAGGAAAAGGAAAGAAAAAAAAACTAATTATATTATAAGTAAAGAAAGAAAAAGAAAAATTCTACTTGCACAAAAATTAGAAGTGTTAGAATGTCCAGATAAAAAGAAAACAGCACAAGATTCAGAAATCATGAAAAATCTGAGTATATTGACACCACCAAAGGTTTGTACTAGCTCTCTAGAAACAGTCCTGAACTGAAATAAATATGTCATTCTTTGTACTTATTTTACTGTTGTTGGTTTAAAGTCAATGCTAAAGAAAAAAAGTCTCAAGAAGAAGCTAGAGAAAAAGGTTATATCAAGTACAAAGAAAACCCAGTCAGGCTAACAGCAGACTTTTCAGCAGAAATTGTATGAGCCAGGAGAGATTAAGGGCTTATTTTAAGCATTTTTAAAGGAAAGAAATTCAAAACAATATTTTTATAGCAGGTCAGAGTAAGCTTTATAAGCAAAGGGGGGATAAAATATTTTCCAGACAAGCAAGTGCTAAGGGTATTTGTTACCACTAGACACTCATCAGGAGATATTTTTAAGGGAGTTCTAAACATGAAAACAAATGAATAATACCTGCTATCACAAAAAAAAAACTCATGTAAGTGCATATAGCCCCACAGACTATATAAACCAATGACACAAAAGAAATGACAAAGCAACAAGCTAGCCACCTCATGATAGAATTAAAATCTCATGAATTAAAATTAAACTTGAATGTAAATGGTCTAAACACCACACATAAAAAGCACACAGTGGAAACTTGAATAAACAACAACAACAAAAAACCATCTGCCTGCTGTGTTGAAGAGACCATCTTACATGTAAAGACACCCATAAACTGAACAGAAAGGGATGGAGAAAGATTTACCACACAAATGAAAAACCAAAAGAAGCAGGAATTATTACTCATATATAAGATAAAACAAATTTTAAACCAACAACAGCAAAAACGAGACAAAGAATGGCATTACATAATTACATAGGGTTCAATTAAACGAGAAGACATAACTATCTTAAATAAATATGCACTCATCATTGGAAAACCCAGATTCATAAAAAAGTACTTCTAGATCTACCGAAAGATTTGTACAGACACACAATAGTGGGAGACTTCAACACCCCACTGACAACAATAAATAGATCATCAAGGGAGAAAACTAACAAAGAAATTCTGAGATTTAATTTGACACTTGAACAATTATACCTCATAGGCATCTAAAAAATACTCTACCCATCAACCACGAAATATGAATTTTTCTTATCTATATAGAGTATATACTCCAAGATGGATCACATACTCAGTTATAAAGCAAGTCTCAATAAATATAATGCAAATCAAAATTATAGCAACCATACTCTTTGACAGCAATTAAATAAAAATAAAAATCAATACAAAAAAGATCTGTCAAAACTGCAGAAATAAACAAAAATTAAACAACTTGATACTGAATGACTTCAGGGTAACCCATAAAATTAAGGAAGAAATTAAAAAACACTGGGCTGGGCATGGTGGCTCACACCTATAATCCCAGCACTTTGATTGGCTAAGGTGCGCAGATCACTTGAGTTCAGGAGTTCGAAACCAGCATGGCCAACGTGGTGAAACCCCGTCTCTACTAAAAACATGAAAATTAGCCAGGCATGGTGGCAGGTGCTTTTAATTTCAGCTATTCGGGAGACTGAGGCAGGAAAATCGCTTGAACCCGGGAGGTGGAGGTTGCGATAAGCCGAGATTGTGCCACTGCACTCCAACCTGAGCAACAGAGCAAGATTCCATCTCAAAATAAATGAATAAATAAATAAATAAATAAATAAATAAATAAATAATTGCAATTAAATGAAATGAGATAGGTCACACCAAAATCTCTGAGGTGCAGCAAAAGCAGTGTTAAAAATAAAGTTTATAGTGCTAAATTATGACCTAAAAAAATCAGAATTATTTCAAATTAATGAACTAACATCACATCTAGAGGAACTAGAAAAACAGCAACAAAGTAAGCCCAAAGCTATCAGAAAAAAAAATGAATAAAATCAGAGCAGACATGAACAAAATTGACATCCCCAAATCCATACAGTCTCAGTCAAATCAAAAGGTGATTTGTTAAAAGAATAAAAAATACTGATAGATTCGTAGTTAGATTAGCAAAGAAAAAAGGCAGAAGTCACAAAAAACACAATCAGAAATTACAAAGGTGAAATTACAATTAATACCAGGTAAAAGAAAAAGATCCTCTGAGACTATTATGAACATCTCTATGCACATAAACTGGAAAAGCTAGAGGTAATGGAAAAATTTCCAGAAAACACTATCTCCCAAGATTGAATGAAGAAAAAATTGAAATCTTGAAATGACCAATATTTAGTTCCAAAGTTGAATCAGTAATATACAACTTACCCATCAAAAGAAAGCCCCAGACCAGATAAATTCACAGGTGAAATCTAACAGATGTATGAAAAACTGGCACCAATTCTACTGACATTATACCAAAAATTTGAGGAAAGACTTATTTCTAACTCATTCTGTGAAGCACCACCCTTGTAGAAAAAAACCTAGAAAAGGCACAACAATAAAATAAAATTACAGGCAAATATTCCTGATAAACATAGAGACAAAAATGCTCAACAATGTACTACCAAACCAAATTCAAAAGCATATCAAAAAGTTAATTCACAATAATCAAGTAGGCTTTATTCCTGCGATGCAAGGTTGTTTTAACATATGTAAATCAATATATGAAATTAATCACATAAACTGAATTATATATTTCAATATATATTTCTATATATAGATTATTCAATATCTAAAAAATATATTTATATATAAAGATATATATGTATAAAATCTCAATAGATGAAGAAAGAGCCTTCAATAAAATACATGACTTTATGATAAAAATCATCAAAAAACTAGGCATCAAAGGGACATACCTCCAAATAATAAGAGCCATCTATGATAAAACCTCAGCCAACATTATACTGAATGGACAATTACTGAAAGCATTCATTCCCCTTGAGAGCTATGACAAAACAAGTATGCTCAATCTCATCATTCTTCAACATAGTACTAGATGTACTAGCCACAGCAATCAGGCAAGATAAAAAACTAAAATGCATACAAATAGGAGAAAAATAAGTCAAACTGTTTCTTCTTGCTGATGATATAAATCTATATCTAGAAAACCCTAAAGATTTCACCAAAAGTATATTGTAATTGATAAACAATTTCAGTAAAGTTTCAAGATACAAAATTTATATTAAAGGAAGTAACATCACTATATAACAATAAGATACAAGCTGAGAGCCAAATCAAGAATACAATCTTATTCAAAATTGCCACAAAAAGAATAAAATACCTAGGAATGCAGCTACCCAGTGAGGTGCAAGGTAACTACAAGAAGAACTAAAAGACACTGCTGAAAAAAATATATATTAGACAAATGAATGGAAAAACAGTTGGTGCTAATGGATTGGAAGAATCAATATTACTAAAGTGACCACACTTCTCGAAGCAAATTGCAGATTCAACACTATTCCTATCAAACAACCAATGCCATTTTTTCACAGACCTAGAAAAGGCTATTCTAAGATTTAAATGGAATTTAAAAGGATCCCAATTTTTCAAAGCAATTATAAGCAAAAGGAACACAATCAGAAGGATTATATTACCAGACTTTAAACCGTACTATAAGGCTACAATAACCAAAACAGCGTGGTACTGGTACAAGAACAGAGATATAGACAAATGGGATGAAGTAGAGAACCCAGAAGTAAAGCCATACACCAAAGCCATTTGATCTTAGACAAAGTCAACAAAAATAAGCAATGAGGCAAAGACCCCCTATTCAACAAATGGTACTGGAATCCTGGCCAGCCATATGCAGAAGAATAAAACTGGACCACTACCTTTCACTGTAAACAAAAGTTAACTCAAGATAGATTAAAAATTTAGATATAAGACTTCAAACTTTAAGAATGCTAGAAGAAAACCTAGAAAACACAATTTTGGAGGTCAGCTTTGAGAAACAATTCATTACTAAGTCTTCAACAAAAATTAAAATTGACTGATGGAACCTAATTAAAGACCTCCTGCACAGCAAAAGAAACTATCAATAGAATAAAGAGACAACCTACAGAATAAGAGAATATATTTTTAATCTACACATCTGACAAGTGTCTAATATCCAAAATCTCTAAGAAACTTAACTGAGGCAGCCAAAGCAGAGTTTACAGTAATAAACAAATGCATGTAAAAAGTTGAAAGATATAAATTAAACAAACATAAACTCACTAGGAACTACAAAAAGAAAAACTAATCCCAAAGTTCACAGAGCAAAGGTGTAATAAAGACTAAACTGATCAGATGCAAGATGGCCAATTTAGAAGCAGCTGTGGTCTGTGGCACTCACAGAGAGGAATGAAAAGGGGTGAGTAATTTCAGCACCTTCAACTGAAATATCCAGGTTCTCACATTGGGACTGACTAGGCAAAAATTTCGGCCCAATTATAATGTAGAAACATAGGAGGGGGAGCGATGGCTCACCCAAGAGCATAATGGAACCAAAGGAACCCCCATCCCCAGCCAAGGGAACCAGTGAGTGATTGTGCAACCCCACCCAGAAAAACCACACTTCTTCCATGGATTTTTGCAACCCATGGATTAGGAGATTCCCTAGTTAGCCAACACCAACAGGCCTTGGGTCTGATACACAGAACTGTGTCAAGTCTCGGCAGAACAGACACTCAGTACACACAGAGACCCAGGAGTTTTACATTCTCCAGCCCCAGGATCCCTGGCTAGGAGGGAAACCCATTCCTATATATCTGTAGGAAGGGGACTGAATCCAGTGAGACAGAAAATAGAAAATGGACCTTTTCTTACAACATAGACAAAAATTAACTCAAATTGGATCAAAAACTTAAATGTGAACCCCAAAACTATAAAAACCCTAGAAGAAAATCTAGGCAATACCATTCACAACATAAGCATGAGCAAAGATTTTATGACAAAAACCCAAAAGCAATTGCAACAAAAGCAATAATAGACTGATGATATCTAATTAAACTAAAAAACCTCTGCACAGCAAAAGAAACTATCATCAGAGTGAACAGACAACCTACAGAAAGGGAGAAAATTTCTTCAATTTATCAATTTGACAAAGGTCTAATATCCAGAGTCTACAAGGCACTTAAACGAATTTACAATAAATAAACAAACAACCCAATTAAAAAGTGGGCAAAAAACATGAATAGACACTTCCCAAAAGAAGACAGACATGTAGCCAACAAACATGAAAAAAGATCAACATCACTGATCATTAGAAAAATGCAAGTCAAAACCACGATGAGATACCGTCTCATGCCAGTCAGAATGGCAATTATTAAAAAGTCAAAACACAACAGATGCTGGCAAGGTTGCCGAGAAAAAAAAAAAGAAAAAACTTTTTTAGTTTGTTGGTGAAAGTGTAAATTAGTTCATCCACTGTTGAAGTCAGTGTGGCGACTCCTCAAAGACCCAGAGGCAGAAACACCATTTGACCCAGCAATCCCATTAATGAGTATATCCCCAAAGGAATATAATTCATTCTATTACAAACATACATGCATTTGTATATTAATTGCAGCAGTATTCACAATAGCAAAGATATGGAAACAATCTAAATGCCCATCAATGATAGACTGCATGTAGAAAATTTAGTACATGTACATATACATGGAATACTATGCAGCCATAAAAGAAATGAGATTATGTCTTTTGCAGGGTCATGAGTGGAGTTAGAAGCCATTGCCTTCAGCCAACTAATGCATCAATGGAAAATTAAAACACTACGTGTTCTTAAAGTGGGAGCTGAATGATGAGAATAGGTAGACACATGTAGTGGCACAACACACACTGGGGTCTGTCGAAGGGGCTAGTTGGGGGAGGGAGAACATCAGGAAGAATAGCTAATGGATGCTGGGCTTAATATCTAGGTGATGGAATGATCTATGCAGCAAACCACCATGGCACATGTTTAGCTATGTAACAAACCTGTGCATCCCATACATGTATTACTGAACTAAAAATAAAAATTGAAAAGAAAATGAACAAAGTAAAAATAAATAAAATTCAAAAGTAGAAAAACAACAGGAAATAGTAAAAAAAAACAGTTGTTTTTTTCAAAAGATTAAATTTACAAAGTTTTAGCTAGACTAAAAATTGAAGGGAGAAGTGTGAAAAAGGAGACATTACAACTAAAACCACATAAATTCAAAAGATTGTAAGACAACTACAAACAATTACGTGCCAACAAATGAATAATCTAGAAGAAGTAGATTTCTTAGTAGTAGCAGAAAATTCTAGAAACCCAGAGTGTAACAAGACTGAGTCATTAAAAAATAGAAAATTTGAACAGGATAATAATGATTAAGGAGATGTAATTACTAATCATAAACCCCCCAGCAATGAAAAGCTCAACACCAGATGGCTTCATTGGTGAATTCTACCAAACATTTAAAGAGAAGTTAACAACAAACTTTCATAAACTCTTCTAAAAAATTGAAGAGGACGTATTTTTGAACTCATTTTGTTAGGTCAGAGTTACCCTTATGTGAAAGCCAGACAAAGACAGTATAAGAAAACATAATTCCAAGTCAATATTTCTGTTGAATATTGATCCAAAAATCTGAAACAAAATACTAGCAAACTAATGCAACAGCATATTAGAAGAGTAATACATCATGAGCAAGTGCTAATTATCCTTAGGGTGCAAGCATGCTTTAACATATGTAAGTCAATAAGGGTAATACACCACATTAACAGAAAGAAGGTTAAAGATTACAAGATTATTTCAAAACATTCAGAAAAAAAATTTCAAAAATTTAATGCACTTTTATAATAAAATCTCTCAACAGTCTAAGTTTTGAAAGAATTTACCTCAACACAATAAAAGCAATATATTAAAAACCTGCAGTTTTCACATTATATTCGGTGAAAACTTCAAAGCTTTTCCTCCAAGAAAAGGAACAAGGCAATAAAACTTACTCCTTCCACTTCTACTGAACATAGTTTTGGAAGTCTCAGCCAGAGAAATTAGGCAATAAAAAAATTAAAAGCCATCCAAATTAGAAAGAAGTGCAATTGTCTCAATTTGCAAATGACATGGTATTATTAATATGTATAGAAAACCCTAAAGGCTCCACGAAAATCATCTGTTAGAATTAGTAAACACATTCGGTAATGTTGTAGGATACAAAATCAACATTAACAAATCAGTTGCTTTTTTCTACATTAATAATGAACTATACAAAAATAAATTACGAAAAAATCACAATCACAATAGCATCAAATTAGTTATTTCAGCAAGATGGTGGAGTAGAAAGTCTCAGGTTCTATTTCATGCCACAGAAAGTTCACCTAGCAAATACCCACAGGTCAGAATAAGAATATATTTTTGAAAACCCCAGTACTTGAAAACAAACCTGAGGCTCTGTGTGGTCCATAGAACTAAATGAAAACCAAATTATGAGGGTTAGAGTAGCCTCATTTTTATTATGCCTCCTCTCCCCCTCCCCCAAGTTGACACAATTCAAGATAAAGAGGATTCCCCTAAGGCTATCAACCCAGAGAAAGAAGTGGAAGTAGCTGTACACCTTCCCTAGAATTCCAACACACTTCCCTGGAAGCCCACTCTGGCTTCACTTCACAAGGGACACTGGGGTTAATAATACTGCTAAGCCACACAACGTTGGATAAAATCTAAGAAGGTGGAGCTCGCAGTAACTGGTATGCAGATCTTGGTGGTATTTTCATGTTCCTGCCCATTGTGGTGCCCGATTGGCTACACCAACTGCATAGCTCACGCATAAAGATGAGCTGGTTGTTTCCCGAAGCACAGTGGGAAATTCAATTTTGTTTAATTCCGCAGGTGACTAGGCTCCACACCCAGCCTCAGAGCCCACCACAATGACCCTGCTAAGGCAGAAAAATGCTCATGTGCATGCATTTTGGAGAGACACGGGAGCTATACGTGCTTTCCCAGGAGTCTAAAAATGTCTCAGATCAACTAAAATCTTATTTCAATGACCCAACTCAGGCAGGAAGATCCTCACCTCTTTGCATTTTGGAGAAGCATAGAAGCTACACTTGCTCAACAAAAAAGAACAAATAGCAGCTCAACTCAGCCAAAATCACACCCCACATCGCCCACTTGGGGAGGCAATCTTCAATTGTGAATTTCTGAGGAGCATAGGCCTGGTCTCACTTGTTCTGAGTGGTGACTCTGACTAACCTCGGAGCCCAGCCTGAAGCCCTGTCCAACTGGAGAACTGGAGATCCCAAATAGCAGAGTTACTTAGGCAGGTATATTAGTCAGGGTTCTCTAGAGGGACAGAACTAATACTCACTCTCTCTCTCTCTCTCAGAGGGCCAGAACTAATACTATCTCTCTCTCTCTCTCTCTCTCTCTCTCTCTGTCTCTCTCTCTCTCTCTATATATATATATATACACATATATGTATATATATATAAAATACATATATATTAATTATGAATTCTTTATCAGATGTATGACTTGCAAGTATTTGCTTCCAATCTGTAGGTGTTATATTTCAATCTGTTCATTGTCCCTTTTGTTGTGCAGAAGCTTTTAATTTGATGTAATCCCATTTGCTTATTTTTCCTTTTGTTATTGCCCTATTGAGGTCAAATCTAAAAACAAAAAAAATCATTGCCCAGACCAATATCATGTAGCTTGCCTCCCTCTCTGTTTTGTTCTAGTAGTTTTAAAGATTCAGTTATTATGTTTATATCTTTAATCCATTTTGAATTGATTTTTGAATATGTTGTGAAACAAGAATTCAATTTAATTATCTTGCATATGGATATCCAGTTTTCTCAATGCCATTTATTGAAAAGACGTTTTTAACATTGCATATTCTTGACATGTTTGTTAAATATCCATTGAGCATACATGAGTGAGCTCATTTACAGGATCTCTATCCTGGTTCCTTGTTTGATGTATCTGTTTATGACAGTACCATGCTATTTCAATTGCTGTTACTTTGTAGCATAGTTGGAAATCAGGAATGTGAAGCCCACAGCTTTTGTATTTTGCTCATAATTGCCTTGGCTATCCTGGGGTTTTTGTAGTTTTATATGCATTTTAGAATTTTTTAATATGTCTGTGAAAATAATATTGTAATTTAATAAGGACTGCATTGAATCTGTAGATAGCTTTGGGTAGCATGGACATTTAAACAATATTAATTCTTCAAATTCATGTACACAGAATAACTTTACATTCATTTGCATCCTTTATCATTTTGATTAATGTTTTATAGTTTTTAGCGTACAGGTCATTCACTTCCTTTGTTAAATTTATTTATAAGTGTTTTGCTTTTTTTCTGTAGCTATTGTAAATGTGATTGTTCTTCTTATTTCTTTTTTATTAATAAAAAGTTAATGGCTAATGTAAAGAAACACTACTGATTTTTGCATATTGAATTTGATTTTGTATCCTGAAACTGTACTGAATTTGTTCATTAGTTTTAACAGTTTTTTGGGTAGACTCTTCAGAGTTTTCCACATGTAAGACCATGTCATCAGTAAATAGCAGTATTTTTATTTCTTTGTCAATTTGGATGCCTTTTATTTCTTTCTCTTACCTTATTGCTCTGTCAAGGATTTCCAATTCTATATTGAGCAGATACAGTAAGAGTGAGAATACTTGTCTCGCTCTAGGTCTTAGGGTAAAAAATTCCAATGGTTAACCAGTAAGTAAAATATTAGCTTTGGCATTATTAATTGTGGACTTAATTGTGTTGAAGTACATTTGATCTATATCTAATTTTAAGTGGTTTTACATAAAAAATAAATTTCATCAAATGCTTTCTCTTCCTGTCTTGGGATGATCATATGATTTTTGTTTTTCATTCTCTTAATGTGGTGTAGCACATTTATTGATTTGTGAATGTTGAGTTATCCTTGCATTCCAGGGATAAATCCTACTAGATCACTGTAAATGATCTTTTTAGTGTGCTGTTGAATTCAGTTTGCTAGTATTTTGTTGAGGATTTTTCCATTGGTGTATATTAAAAATATTTATCTGTAGTTTTCTTTCCATTTGGCTTTGGTATCACAATAATGCTGGCCTTATAAAAGCAGTTTGAAAGGATTCCCTTTTCTTTATATTTTTATCTGGAATAATCTGATTAGAATCTGTGTATTACTTCTTCTTCAATGTTTGGTAGAATTCAACAATAAAGCCATTAATTGTTGGGCTTTTCTTTGATGGGAGACTTTTTTATTATGTATTTGATCTCATTACTAGTTTTTGGTGTGTTCTGGCTTTATATTTCTGTAGTATCAGTTTTAATGTCTGCTTCTCCATTTCTACATTTATTTCTTCGCATCTTTCATATTTGTTCTTTGTTATTCTACCTGAAGGTTTGTTTATTTTGTTTACCTTTTCAGCAAACTAACTCACAGTTTTCTTGACATTTTGCATTGTTTTCCCAGTCTATATATACTCTATGTCTGCTCTGATCATTATTACATATTTTATTCTGCTAACAGTGAGCTCAATTTGTTTTCCTTCTTTCTCTATAACTTTGAGAAATGACATTGTGTTTATATATTTCTCCTTCTTGATGTAGGCATTTTTTACTATAAACTTTTCTCTTAAAACTGCATTCATGACCTTTTCAAGTTTTATTGCGTTGTGTTACCATTTTTGTTTGTCTCAAAACATTTTTTAGTTTACCTTTTAATTTGTTCATTGACCTCTTGGCTATTCAAAAGTATATTGTTTAATTTTCATGTATTTGTGAATATTCCAAAATTCCACCTGTTACTAGTTTCTGGATTCATATAATTGTGGTTCAAATAGATTAACTTGCTAAGATATGGCTTGTAGGCTAACAAAAGATGTATCCTGGTAAATGTTCTCTGTGTGCTTGAGAAGAATATATATTCTATGATGTTAGCTGAAATGTTCTGTATACGTCTGTTAAGTTCATTTGGTCTAGAGTGTTGTTCAAATCCAGTGTTTCCTTATGAATTTTATGTTTGGATGATAGTTCCATAATTGAAAATGGTGTATTGAAGTCCCCTACTATTATTGTTTTGCAATATGTATGTCCCTTCATATCGTTTAATATTCACTTTATATATGTAGGTGTTCCATTGTTGGATGATATATATATATATATATATATATATATATATATATATATATATATATTTGTATTATATTGATGAATTGACCTTTTTATCATGACGTAATGCCTTTCACTTTTTGACTTAAATTTTATTCTGTCTGACATAAGTATTACTATCTCTACTCTCTTTTGGTTTCCATTTGTGTAGAATATCTATTTACACCCTTCACTTCCAGTCTTTTGGTGTCTTTAAAAGCAAAGTAAGTCTTTGTAGACAAAATATAGTTTATTCTTGTTATTGTTTATTCATTCAATAACTCTAATTGGATAATTTAATCTATTTACACTCAAGGAAATTATTAATAGGTAAAAACGACAGCCATTCGTTGTTTACTGATTGTTTTTAAATGCTTTCTTTCTTCCTCTTTTGCTGTCTTTTGTGGCTTGATGCTTTCCTGTAGTAGGAATATAATCCTTTCTATTTTTCTTTTGTACATCAAGTATATATTTTTGGTTTTGGTCACCATGAAGTATACATATAATATTTTACACTAATATTGGTTTATTTCAAGCTGATAGCCACTTAATTTTAATGTATACAACTCTACATTTTAACTTTCCTCCTTGTTTTATGTGTTTAATGCTAGAATTAACATTATTTGCATCATTTACATCATTTTGTAATATGTGTTTTATTTATACTATTATAAGTATTACTTATACTATTGAGTTTTGTGCTTTTATAAGTTTTATGTTATTAGTTAGCAGCCTTTTGTTTCTCTTTCAAATTTTTTTTATCAACTTCTGTATGGCAGGCGTAGTGGTGATTAATTCCCTTACATTTTGTTTGCCTGGGAAATATTTTATTTCTCTCTCATTTCTGCAATACAGATTTGCTAGGTAGTATATACTTGGTTGGCGTTTTTTTTCTTTAGCATTTTAAATACATAATCCCACTCATTCATTATTTTGAAAAATATCTTTTCTGACACTTTTTTCTTTTTTTTACTTCTTAAAGGTTTACTAGGCATAGGTTGTCTTTTGATTATGCCCAATAATTTCCATAATCTTTCTCCATACTTTTTTATTGTTTTTTGTTTTTTGCTCTTCTGACTAATTTCACATGTTATCTTTATGATGATTGATTATTTATTCAGCTTGTTTGAGGTGGGTGTTGAAGCTTTCTGTTTAAATTTTCAATTTTGTCATTTTATTTTTTACCTCTAGGGTTTTTTATTTGTTCTTTATTGTTTCTGATTTTTCTCAAAGTTCTTATTTTTATGTATTATTTGTGATTTTTTTAAAAAAAATCTGAAGCTCAATGAACCTTTTTTAAACTGGATTATTCTGAATTTTTTCTGATATTTCATAGACCTTTCCTTTTTGTTGTTTATTTTTGGCACTTTGCTAGTTTCCTTTGGCGGTGTCATGATTTCCTGAGTCTTTGTAACCCTCACGTCCCTCTGTTGTTGTTGTTTGTGTATTTGTGGAGACAGCCACCTTTTCTGACTTTTGCAGGTGTTATTTGGCAAGGATAGACCTTTACTATTTAGCTAGCTTACGATTCTGGATGGGACAGCTAGTAATAACCCTGAAAAGACAGTTTTCTTTTGGGTTTTCTAGATTGTTAGGCTGCTGCCTTTGGTGTGAATTCTGATAGTGTAGCTGGCTAGGCTCCACTATCCAGCAAAACCACTGGCTAAACTCTGCAATTAGCTTAACCTTCTGATTTGGCTGGGTCACAGGATATATTCTCTGGCTAGAAAGCACTGCTTTTTTAGTTCAGCAGTTGATCAGGGTTGCAGACATGGACCTGAGGTTAAGTAGATAAAAATGAATAGAATAAATATTAAGCTCAGTAGAAATACATGCTTGAGATTTTCTTCCATTCCTGGGTAGCATTTGTGGGTGTGCTTTGAGGCCACTTGGAGCACGATTTAAATCTTCTGGTATGGCACAACTAGTGCATCACTTTTGTAAAAATTTGCTGTGGTGGTTGTCTGTCTTTCTGGGTGGGGCCCCAGATAGGGTTTGAGGATGGACCTGGAGGCTGGCCATCTAGGGATTCAAGCCAGGTAGCGCTTTTCACTTCTTCTGGCAGTGATCAGCTTGGCTGCTTGGTTTTGTGGGTAGGATGTTGCTAGCTGGTACCGTTATTTAAAAAAGAATCCTTTCTGACACTTTTTTTTTCTTTTACTTCTTAAATTCCTACTAGGCACAGGCCGTCTCTTAATGGTGTCCCATAATTCCCATAGACTTTCTCCATTATTTTTTATTCATTTTTCTTTTTGTTCTTCTAATTTAGTAATATCAAATGTTGTCATTGTGCTGATTAATTCTTACTGCAGCTTGATTGAGCACCACTGCTAGCTGGTACACTGAGCTACCACCCAAATCTGTTCACTGGTTTCCTTGGGCTCTGTTTCCTTTCTTCATTTCTACCTGATCCCAAGTGGTCTACTTATGAATTTTCCCTCTATATTCCCTGTTTCCCATAAGGTGGAAACTGAGTAGGCCTCCTGTCTCACAATGCCGGGGAAGCTGGATGTCAACTTCCCTGGTCATCTTTTCCCACTGTAGATGCCATAAATCCTGGGGAATCCTCTCTGTGTGGTGCTGTGCCAACCTGGGGCTGTTTGAGGGGTGATATGCTCAGAGTGAAACTGTTTCTGCTACCATTTCAATGCAGATTTTCATTCTGTTCCATTGAGCATGCAGTTGACTTAGGATAATTCCCACATTTTGAGGTTTTAACCAAGTTGTTCTTTTAAATTTTATTTTCTATAGTTGCTAGTTGATATTTCTGTGGTGGAGTGAAGCCTGGGACCACCTATTTTGGCATCTTGCTGATGTCACTCTACTTGTAGAAATGTTTAAATGCAAAATATTATATGCAGAAAAATTACCTATAATTATTAGCATTTTTATGTGTTTACATCAATTTTTACAATAAATTTATTTGCTTTATATGATATATATCAAACTGCATGAATAGTTTTATGTTCCATTTTTTCAAGTAAATGTTAAGTATATGATGATGAGCAAAATGAACATGATTCCTACTGTCATGAAAATATAGGATTTACTGAAACCATTCCGTAGTTTCGAACATTTAGAGTATTTCTAGATTTTAATATTTATGTAGAACTGTAATTAATGCCTTTGTGCTAAATATTAATTTACTTAGGAATGAATTTACTCTGCCAGAGGAGTGAAATTACATTTTTATGGCTTTTAACTCATAGTTAATATTCCTTTCAAATACATAATAGTGGTTCACTTTTACTTAGAAATTAAATGGCCTTATATTACCTTCCTTAAGATAATGCTATTTGACTAGCTTGTGAAATTAGTTTGTTCAATGAAAAAGTTATGAGATATACTGCTTTGTACTGCTCAGGTAAAAATTATCTTGGTGTCTTGGATCACATTTTTTTCATTAAAAGATAAAATATCATTATTATATAAGAAATATAAACTTACAAAAATGAAATAAAAATTCAATGACAAAAAGTGGTGAAAAATAAAAACTAATGAATTGCTTTTTCTCCTGTGGCTAGAAATATGGTCACTGTTATCTAAAACACATATGGGCAATTTTACCTGTATACATTCCTACCTGCCCAGAAAGGTTTTTTATCTATAATGAATAATTCACATTTATGGGTTTTATATACCAAGTAGCTGTTTATAACTTGTTCTAACACAACTCTGTGCATAATAAGAGTTGTTTTAAGCTTTGGGTGAAAAGTTTTTTTCAGATTTGTCAATAGTAGTTTAATAGATAGTTTACTTTTGCTGAATTTACATATCCAAGAATAAGACATCTTCAAGTTATTTTATGGAAATACCACTATAAATGTACAAAAAGGTTGTAGAGGAGAAAAGCCTAAAAGTGAAGAAAATGTAGTAAGCTACCACTGCTCTTTTTAGAGGAAAACTTATATTCTTCTATTTTCCTTTCAGCACATATATCTCTTACACACACAAATATACACACATAAACACATCTTTGTGCACACATGCACATTCAAAGTTAGTGTTAAAATAGGCTGATATGAAATAATTAAATATTTAATAAACCAAACAGGTAGATTCAATTAATGAATACTGACTAATTCAGTTCAAGTTTTAAAAAGTGGAGTGTGAACACATCCACAATTTAAAAATAGGTTTCAAAAACACCTGTGCACTTTAAAATATGACTACTCTGTCCCTTTTAAATTTCTTTTATTTACAATCCCTTTATGATGTCATCACTCAACATTACCAGTTTCAACTTACTATGCTCAAGTCCAGGCAACGTACAGGCAGGGGAAATGTCTCTTCCAAGGTTGTAAGTCCTCTTTTTAATATTTTTTTAGTATTTTAAATAGCCAATATGCTCAATTTAGTTACAAATGTATATGTTTAACTGTAAAGAATGTTTCTTTCATAGTCGTTTTATTTATGAATTAGAACTTGTATTTTAAACAGAGATATGAAATTTTCAATAATATCTTAGATGTTTTGCTTTGAAATTTCACTAGTGCAGTCTTGTTTACAAAATACCTGCGAATCTTGACTGTTTGATCTCTCTGAGTCTCAGTTTCTTATAACTACATCTTGTTTTAGGAATCATGGAAAGAATAAACTTATGTGAAAGCACTTTAAAATGTAAAGCAGGATACAATGTAGTAAGACTTTGTATGCTAGTTTGGTAAACTTAATTGTATGTGTAGGCAAAATTAGACCATTCTATTTTTCTGATAAATACATTATTATGTCCAAGAAAGTGCAGTAAGTTTATTTTTTAAAGACTTCATTAAGTAGAAGATAAAGTATTATTCATATGGAATTAAACAGTTTTCTGAAGTCTTTAGTTGCTGTAGTGTTGTTTTTTATTTTAAAAGTCAATTTCCTCTTAAAGAATATTTCTGAAAGTAGTTTAAAAATTAAGATAATGTAAGCCATGCTAACTTACACCTACCAGATAATATCCCATATATATTAAATTGAACTATATGAGATTGCTTATATTAAACTATTTTGACCTACAAAAATGGAAATTTCTCATGGTACAACCTAATAAAAAACACTTGTAAAGTCTATGAAAAAAATTCAATTAATGTGGAATAAAAATATGGGTATATGACCAGGCAATTTATAGGAAAAAATCTTAATTGCCAGTAAACTTTAAAAAGTGCACAAATTCGAAATAAAAAGAAAATTTAGAAAATATTTCACTCAGAAATTCAAATTTTGGAGAATTATTCCCTAGAAAGGAATTGCAGACATTTTCCCTCTTTAAATGATACATGTCTGTAATGTTCATATTTTTTTCTATTAGTGTGTATTACTTTTAGAAAATGAAAATTCAATAAGTTTGAAAGAAAGAAAAAGAGTGGGCCGGGCACTGTGGCTCACGCCTGTAATCCCAGCACTTTGGGAGGCCGAGGCGGGTGGATCACGAAGTCAGGAGATCGAGACCATCCTGGCGAACACGGTGAAACCCCGTCTCTACTAAAAATACAAAAAAAAAAAAAAAAAATCAGCCGGGCGTGGTGGCAGGCGCCTGTAGTCCCAGCTACTCGGGAGGCTGAGGCAGGAGAATGGCATGAACCTGGGGGGCGGAGCTTGCAGTGAGCAGAGATCGCGCCACTGCACTCCCGCCTGGGCGACAGAGCGAGACTCCGTCTCAAAAAAAAAGAAAAGAAAAGAAAAGAAAAAGAGTGATTTGATCTAGAAATTAAAATTGAGCTCCCCAAAGTGAGCGTCTCAAATCACTAGCGCTTTTACAAAGACATTTCTAATTTGATTCTGCCTACATCTGATCTTCCCTCTTAGATCACAAAGACCTTAGGTTTATGTCACCATTAGGCATTATCTCTTTGAAACTCACTGTCATCAGCAACACCCTCTATGTCCTCCTCTGACTCCAATCTGAATGATAACTCTGTCCTCTTGCTGTATCTGAAACCCAACTCTCTCTCAAATTCATTGCTTTTCCTGCAGCCTTCAAGAGGGGGTGATGTTTTCCTTCCTACATCCTCTCCTACCACTGAACCCAAAAATGCAATAAAGTCTGCTTTATTCCTCAATGCTATTTCCAGGTCATTCTCCTTTCTTACTTCCAAAAATAGCCAACTTTGAATCTCATGTCATCAACTTATATCACCTGTGACCTTTCCTTGTATTCATCACCTGACTCCTAGTACTCTACTTCATTTTGTGATGATTTTCCGTCTGGCTATCACTTTCTCCAAAAGTACCTTTGTCTTAATTCCTAGTAATTTTACTATTAGGTGATCAATCTCATATCTAACATTTTAATTATTTGACTTTCTCTTCTCCAGTTATTTTGTCTTACATCCTACTTTAGTGGTTTACTACTGCACATATCCCTCCAAAATCTCAAATTCAAACATTTCACTCTCCAACTGATATGTCAGGTACCTCTAATAACCCCATTCCAACAACTCTACCTCTAAGACTGATCATTGATTCTACTACCTTTTCCCTGTTCCTTGCTAATGACCTTTCTGTGGCTTTTCTTCTGTTGCCCACCATAAATCCTTACCTATCTTAGATTTTTACAGGCTCATGGTGAATTAGCACAAATATTTCCTTGCATACATCCTCAGTTCCCTTTATCCCACTCTATTTTTTGACATCTTTGCTGAAAAAAACACTTAATTTTTAGTAAATTTAAACCTCTAATCATGCCACACACCTTTGCAAGATAAATGAGCATGAGAAAAAAAATGTGTAACCATAATAATTATCTTCAATTTAAATATAAAATGACAAACTTCAAGTGGGCCATTAATGCTACCTGGCAATTACATTTCTCCACCAGAAAATATAATAGTCTGCATTCATCTTTACCCCAACACCACACCTTCAGTCCTGTTAGAGCAGATGCTTTCTTCTTGCTGCATTTAACTCCTCTAACTGGGCATGCTAGTTTCCTAAGGCTACTGTAAGAAACTACCAGAAACTGATTGGCTAAAACCATCATATATTGTCTCACAATTCTGGAGACTACGAGTCCAAGATCAAGGTGTCAGCAGGATTGGTTTACTCCAGAGGTTCTAAGGGAGACTCTGTTCCGTGCCTCTCTCTCCTAGTCTGACTGTTCCTGGTATTGTGTGGCTTGTAGATGCATTACACCAATATCTGCCTTCATCATCACATGGCATCCACGTTTTGTCTATGTCTGTTTCTCCCTTTGTTCTTATAAGAAAAAGATTTCCTTTTCTTATAAGAACACTAGTCACTTAGATTAGGGCACAACTTAATTCAGTATGATCTCATCTTTATTTGATTACATCTGCAAAGATCCAATTCCAAATAAAGTAATATTCACAAGTACCAGATGTTAGAACTTAAATATAAATTTGGGGGACATAATTCGACTCATAACACAGGATTGGATTTTGTTCACTATTTATGCATATAGCTTTTTTGTTAACTCATATTCTTCCATATCATCATTTTTTCTTAACTCTTTGTAGATTTTGTCCCATCAGTGTTCAAAAAAAGTAGTAACTCCTACCACTTAAAAATCCCTTTTCCACTTAAAAAATCCCTTTTCCTTCACAGCCTCTTCCAGCTCCCACCCCATTTTCTGTCAGCTTTATATAGAAAAACTTCCCAAAATAATTATTCATATTATCTCTACTTCCTTTTCTCCAATTAACAATCTCTTTTTAAACTAGATTTTAATTGAAAAATTGAATGCATATATATGGTGGATAATTCAAAAAGAACAAAAGGAGAGTTGGCAAAATTCATTCTCCTATACTAGATTCCCAGACCCATTACTGGAGATAATCACTATTACTAGTTTCTTTTCTCTCCCAAACTTATTTCAGATTTTTGTCCTTACCATTCCATGGAATGGCTTTCACATTTACAATTCCACTAGCAGCACTTGATACAACTGAGCCCCTTCATGAAATATTCTTCTCTTGGTTATCATGTCACTCTGCTTTCTTGGTTTTCCTTCTATCATATTATCTATTCCTTCTCAGCTTCTGTTGCTGGTTTCTCTTTACCTCTTCAGTCTTTAAATGTTGAATAGCCTAAAAACTTAGATCTTGGACCTCTTTTTTTCTTATCTGCACACATTTAGTATACAATATCATCCATTCCAATGATTTTATATGCCATCTAAATGCTGATGAATTCTAAATTTATATCTCTGTTCCAGACCACACCTCTAATTTTCAGATTTATATGTACAACTAATTTATTGACAATTCCACTTTGATGTGTAATAGATATCTCAAACTTAATATGTGCAAAACAAAATTCTTGTTTTATACCCCTTCTAAACCTGCTCATCCATAAGTATTCTGCATCTCAGAAATTGGCACTACTATTCACTCAGTTGTTTAAGCAAACATAAACATGCATACACACACACACACACACGCACCAACATAGCTTTGGCATCATCCTCGATTGCCCTCTTTCTCTAGCAGTGAACATCCAGTACATCACCAAATCCTATAGGGCTTACCTTTAAAATATATCTAGAATTTAGTCTCAACATCAGTTCTGCCACCAACTCTAAACCATTTTGATCTCTTATTTAGATTATTGCAAAAACCTCTGTGCATGTTACCTTGATTAGTTTCATATTGCCTCTGTAACAAATTACCATATACTTTGTGGATTCAAATGATAGAAATTTAATCTCTTACATTTCTGGAAGACATAAGTACAAAATGAGTCATTCAGAGCTAAAATCAAGTTATTGGAAGGGCTGATTCTTTCTGAAGGCATCAGAAGCTATTGTATTCCTTGCCTTTTTTAGCTTCTTGTGGCTGCTAGCATGTCTTGGTTTTTGACTGCATCATTCTAATCTCTGCAATGTTGTCATATTGCATTTCTTCTGTAATCAAATCTTCTTTTACCTATTTCTTATATGCACAATTGTCATAACACTGAGGACCCACCTGGATAATCTAAGATTTTAATCGCACCTGCAAATTGTCATTTGCCATGTACGGTAAGATTCAAAACTTCCAGGGATTAGAAAATTGTATCTTTAGGGTATATTATTCAGCCTACCACAGTCTGTCTTGAACCCCAAATATTCATGTCTATCCCACATGCAAATACAGTCACTCAAAACTAAACTAACATCTACAAAACTATCACCTCATTTCGGTATTAACTCAAGTCCAACATCATATCCAAATATCATCAGCTCTAAAGTCCCAGTTGCTATAGTGTAAATCATCTAAATCAGATATAGTGAGATTCTGTAAGTGTTCCATCCTGGGGTGAAATTACCCTATATCTGTAGAACTGTAAAATTAAAAAACACATTTTCTGCTCCAAAAATACAATGATTGAACATGGATAGAATAACAATCATAGACATTTTAACTCCATAAAATGGGAAAATAAAAGAAAAATGGAATCATTGGCCTCAAGCAATTTCTAAGTCAAACTGAGTAAACTCTGTTAGATATCAATGTCTGTGAATCATCTACTGCGGCTTGAGATTCCACTACCTTGGCCCATGGCTCCACCCCTGGGCTTTCAGCTCTATCCTCAGAGTTAGCCATCATTTTTCTTAAAGTATAGCACATGTTTGCAACTGAGTCACTCTGCCAGCCTGATTCCTGCCTGTATAGATTTGTCCGTTTAATTCTTTCATCCTTCCTCTCTCTGTCCATTTGCATCCCAAACTCTCAGTGTTTCTGCTGGTATAACATTCTCAGAAACTCATGCTTCTCTTGTGTATATTATGAGGATTCCAGCCATTAAAAAAAAGGTTCCTCCACAGATGTTTGTACACAAAATATTTTATATATTTAGTCTATATTCCTGGCTTTTGCTGAGATGGTTGATCACATCCATAAGTCACATGCTTTATCTTCCAACACTAGCAAAATATTGTCCAGCCCCACTCAGCATTCTCTCTGGAGAACACTTCCCTGACAGTGAACCTTAATTTATCATCTTTTAAAATCTGCATAAAGTGAGAATTTCCTAAATAATTAAGTCCTGGTGATTGTTTGCATAGCAATTCTTTCCTTAATTATATTTATTTTCCTTCTTATTTTACTATAGGCAGCAAGAAGAAACTGCATTATACATTCAATGCTTTCCTTGAAAATCTCCTCAACTGAATATCCAAGTTCATTACTCAAGTTATGTTCTTCACATAACTGTAGAACACAGTTCAGCTGTTTCTGCCACTATACAGCTGGAATTATCTTTCACCCAGTCTTCAATAACATGTTTTTCACTACCTCCTGAATTCTTACCAGCAACATCTTTAAAATCCATATTTCATCAAGTCTTTTTATGATGATTTACGTATTCTCAAAGATGATTTAGGCTTTCTTCTACAATGTTCCTCACTTTCTCTGAGTTCTGACCAACAAAGTCTTCAACAACCATATTTTCTAGCAGTTTTATTCAAGGCAGTCAAGGCTTTTTCTATCACACTCCTCAAAATTATTTTAATCTCTTCCCAATGCCAAGTTCCAAAACCACTTCTACATCTTTAAATATATGTTACAGCAACAACCACTCCTGGTACCAACATTTGTATTAATTTTCTATTGTTGTTGTGGAAAATTGTCACAAACATAGTAGCCTAAACAACATAGTTTTACAGTTCTGGATGTCAAAAACCTAAAATCTATTTCACTGGGCTAAAATCAAGGTGTTAGCAAGGCTGGTTTCTTCTAAACTCTGAGGGGAAAATCTATTTCTTTGCCATTTTTAGCTTCCAGTGGCTGCTCATAATTTTTGACTAGCCCCCATTCTTCCTCCTTCAGAGTGCACCACTCCAGTCTCTGCTTTCATAATCACTTTGCCTTCTCCTCCTCTGATCCTCTTTCCTTCCTCTTGTAATAATTTTGGTGATTACATTTTGTGCCCTCTTGAACAATCCAGAATAACCTTCCAGTATCAAGATTCTCAACTGAACCACTTATGCAAAGTCCCTTTTGTCATATAAGATAACATGCAAAGGTCCTAGAAATTAAAATACGGATATTTTTTATTATTCAGCCTTCAATAATACTTAATGTTTAATTGTTGAATGAAAAATTTAGAGAAAACTACAGCATAATTTCTTGTCTAAGTTTGAGGATTAAATTCATTTGATTATCAGGAAATAAAGTTTAAAGAAAAATGATGAATTAAACATAAATGGTGCAAAAACAATAGGACAAGAAGAAAGTTATGTTTATAAATAGTAGATTTGAAGTAGAGAGTGCATAAACTGAAAAGGAATAAAATATTTTAAGAGCAGGATTTCACTCCAGATCAAATCAAGCAAATATAATTATTCAACTATATTAAAAAATTGCAAATTTGAAAGTTTATTATGAACACTGAAACACTATAAAAGCACAATGAAAATATTACCTATTATTCATATTGTTGTCATAACCATGCTATTTCTCTAAAGAATCTTTGTCATGATGTTCAAAGAAATGTGTATTTTCTTCTATTTAGTTATTTATTTTCTATTTCCATTATTAGAGGAGGAAAAACTGGTACAGTTTGTAATAACTAGATAACGGGAGCTCAATATATCACTATATTTCATTATGGTTATAGATTTTATGCCCAGTTTAATAAATATGTGTCTACTCTACTATCATTAAGATATTCTCCTCTGTTACCTCCTAGAAGTTTTATTATTTTACAGTTCAGCTTTAGGTCTTCAGTCTATCTGAGACTGATTCTGGTGCTTATTGTGAAATGGTGGTCAAGAATCACACTTTTCCCCTTGTAGATACTTAATTGATTAAAATCATTTATTGAAAACACCATGTTTCCCCAGCGCATGAAAACTTTGGTATAATTTGTGTGACTTTATCTATATAGGTCTCTTATTTTGCTTTCTATTCCACATAATTAGTTATGTTTCTTTGTATCTATATTCCATTATCTTAATTACTGTCACTTTAAAATAACTTGGTATATTAATATGTGGCATTATATATCTTTCACGTTATTTTACTTCCAAATTGTCTTGTATATTCTCGAATCCTTTATTTCCATATAAAAGCTAGAATCACTAGACAGTAATCACAAAAACATTTAAAAATTATTGGGATTGCATTGAATTAATACTTGAATTTGAAAATAATTGCTACATTTTGTATTACTGAGCCTTTCACACTCTAACATGGTATATATTTCTATTTGTGTATTTTTTAAAATTTTATCTTAAAAGTTTCTACTGTTCAGTATAAAGCTATTATACATATATATTTTTATATTTATTTCTGGGTATTTGCTATTTTTTATTTGATTTCATAAATGGTATTATTAAAATATTTTCTAAATGTTTTTTCACTGGTATATAGAAAGGTAATTATAGTTTATCTTTTTGTTAAATTTTAAAGCTCAGGAGTACATGTGCACATTTGGTATATAGGTAAACTTGTGTCATGGGGGTTCACTGTACAGATTATTTAATCACTCAGGTATTAAGCCTGGTACCCATTAGTTATTTTTTATGATCCTCTCCTTCCTCCCACCCTCCACCCTCTGATAGACCCCAATGTGTGTTGTTCCATTCTATGTGTCCATGTGTTCTCATCATTCAGCTCCCATTCATAAGTAAGATCATGGTGGTGTTTGGTTTTCTGTTCCTGCTCTAGTATGCTGAGGATAATAGCTTCCAACTCCATCCATAGCCCTGCAAAGGACATGATCTCATTCATTTTTATGGCTGCATAGTACTCCATAGTGGATATGTACCACAATTGGTTTATAATAGGGAGATTAATACGAATTAAAGGTAGACATTCTTTAAAAATGGAGATAAGAGAATGAATAAAATTTTTTGAAGTGTTGCAATTGAAGAATTTGTTATAATAATGAGTGACAATAAGACAGTTCCAAATCACTGATTAAACATAGCATTGGGCTTTGTTTTTTTAGAAATAAAGGATAGATTACATAAAAAAATAGTTATTTTTATTTATTGCCCATAATACAAATTTAATTAAAGCATTTTCTTCTTTTAATAGGCTAAAAGTAAACATCAGAACATATGATAATTCCATTCCAAGTAAGAATTTAGTTAATGAAGTTTAATATTTCTTAGATTGGAAAACAATTTTAGGAACTAATGACAAGTATATTCCATTAAATGTGATAAAGCAGAAACTGCTATGAATTTTTATAAAAATTTTATAAAAGCATGTATGCATGATATTTATATATGTATGTTGGTAGGTGTGTATGTGTGTGTATATCTCTGGCCTTGATGTAGATTTGCACTCACTGGTTTTGAAGAAAGATTTATTTAGTTTGTTCTCCTTCATAATACAAACCAATTTTACTTGTATAAGATTCCCTTGTGTTTAGAATTCATAATTACAGTAAAGAAGGCAAATATAGTCAGAGAGATGAAAACAGTTAATGAACAGCCCATTTGTTAAACAGCTGCAACTTTAGGAACGTTTACGTTAATATACTGAGCTGAAGTCTGCCTGCACTGCTATAAATATTACCCATTGGTTCTAGCCCACCCCTCAGGATACATATAAAAGAAGCCTATAACAATGTGATTAAGAGCATGGGCTCTGGGGCCAAAGTACCTGTGTTCAAATCAACTCTGCTACTTACTAGCTTTAAATAATAAATAATTAATAAGCTAGCAATTAATTTAACCTCTCCCTCTCTCTGTGCTTTATTTTTCCATATCTGTAAAATGGAGACAATTACATTATCTAATTCAAAGCATTGTTGTAAAGATTAAACAAGTTTACTAAAATGCTTAGAACACAGTCTGGCACATAGTAAACACTACATAAGTGTTAGTGGTTGCAGCTATGCTGTTATTACTATGACTACTTTTTGCCAATGTAGCAGCTCTTTAAAAATCTAAATATAGTAACCGTATCTCTGGTTAGTCTCTCCATCTCCAAGAGAGCTATGTTGAGTTTCGTTACCAGTTCCACTTTTGACATAGTTTTCAGATAGTTTGATCTTCCTGATCACCCTATTCTTGTCCTCAAGTATGTATATGGCCTTCTTTAAATAGAATCCCCAAAATGGAATGCAGTATTTCCACCTAGGGCCCTAATTCCTGTGGTTCGGGATGCCACTGAGGTCAGAGAGGTGCTAAAAGAAACACTCAGATGTAATCAATCAAGACTTTTACTGACTGTTGTCAACACCGTGCTAGTTATTATGAAGACTATAGCAGAAGTTATATTGTCTGCAATCTAACTAAAGTGACATAAAGAAAAAAAAACAGGATAGACGAGATGATGTAGATATTTTCAAGGAAACAGTAAATCTCTATTTTCTATTCCTACTGTCTGATTATATAATTTTACCATCATGATTTAAATATCTGTGAAAATTAGTTTAATGTAGAAAATAAAATTACAAATTTCATTTTAAATAAAATTCAATGATAAATAAGAAAAATGGTTTTTATTTTCTCTGATTGCTATGCAAATAAACTAGGAACTCTGAGGAAAAAATCTATATTTTAATGTATAACTTAGTTTAATTTAAATAATATGTTTCTTACTCAAGAATAATTCAGGTCTGTGGAAAATCTGACATTAACTCCAAATTGTTTATTATCCTTTCTCATTTAGTCAGTGAATCAAGCAGAAAATCATGGAATCAAAAACACTTTGCTTTGACATTTCCCAAACCACTCCAGAGAGGTACAAATGATAAATCAAGACCTTTGAAATCACAAATAACAGTTACTGTAAGTATAGAAAAAGTCATTTTTAAAAACGAAATCTAAGTTGGTAAAGCATATATAAATATAAGTAAGGCCTATATAACTTGAATTTTACTACCTGTTGGAAGATATTTTTAAATTTGTAATTCTCTGTACAACAGACTGCCCCTACCTGCTTTAGATTAAGCTCATATTTGTACATAATTATCCACATCAAAGACATTATCTAAGCAAGCTGGAGAACCTAATACTGCACCTGGCAAGTTCTATCAGGACATGTTTACCAGCTGCAAAAAGCAGCTAAAATTTAAATATTAGAGCAGAAACTGATCTTGATGAGGTTTCAAGGCCTCCTTATTTTACAAAATATGAAATTCAGAGACGATATTAAGAGATTCAAGTTTTCTACTGTTTCTCTAAAGTCGAGTTATCCTATCAATTAGCAAAAGGAAAAATAAGCATATATAGGTCACCTATTATGATATCAAACAATTTTTAAAGCATCTCCCAGAGCAAAGTTACAGTCAATGCATTTATTCAAGGGTCATTTATTACATTTTTAGTGATCCAACTTTCATGTTTCTCTTCAGGTCATCTTTTAATTCCATATTACCATTTGCTTGTTGGCACCTCTACTGAATAATTGAGGGAAAATAAGAAGTAATTTTAAAATCAGTCTTTATGGTTATTTATGACTACAAGATTTGGCAAATATTTGGGTGAGATTTGAAAATAAATTACACCACTGCTGCACAAGTTAATGTGAATCAAGCATCTGTTTATTTCATTCAGTTTATGCCTTTGTTTCTTTTTTTTGTGCAGTGCAGTTGGGGTCACAGACTCTCAATTTGACAAGACACTTTAAAAGCAGGAGTAGAAATTAGGCTAGGGTTTTACAACTATTACAGGAACTGTCATAACAAACTTCAAGTGGATCAGTTTATTTCTGATTTAACTTGGGGATAAACAGTGTTCAATATTTTCCAAAAGATTCTCCCCATATAGAAGTCCCAAAAGCCTACTGTTGGTATTTGAGGACAAGTCCTGGAATGTCATGAGTCACTGTGGGCCTGCTCTAATCTCAATATGAATCATTAATGGAATCATAAAATTCCCACTAAAGTCATTTTATTTCCAAAGTGGAGTTATATGTCTCTTTCTGTCTCTCTCTTACACACACACACACACACACACACACACACACACACAGACACAACCTTGAAAGAGAAAAAAACTAAGTTTAAATAGATGGTTAATAAAAATATAAACTTTTTTATGTTTCAATATAGAAAGATAAAACTCATTCACAAATGCTTATTATTCTAACCAATCTTTTCAGAGACATGACAAAAGAAAACTAGAAGAAGGCCAGAAACCAGCTCATAAATGGATAAGGCATTCTTTCAGAAAAATTTTGCAATGGCCACCCATTTACACAGCTGCCAGGGAACAGACTCCATTCAGACATCTTTATACTTCCAAAACCCATCTTAAAAAAGCAGAATATAAAAAGTCCAAAGATGAAAAAGGAGGAACACCTTTGAAGAAAGATTCCAAGAAAAAAGGAGGTTCATATGCAACAAATCCAGAATCCAAGCAAATAGTAGAAGAGAAAACTAAAAGACAAAATGAGGCAGATAAAACTCCCTTAAAATCATCACATGAAAATGAACAATCCAAGAAGTCAAAATCCAGTTCAGAAACTAATCCAGAATCCCAAAATTCTAAGACAGTCTCAAAAAATTGTTCACAAAAAGATAAGAAAGATTCAAAGAATTCCAAGAAGACAAACACTGAATTCCTACATACAAAGAACAATCCAAAGAAAGATTTGAAGAGGTCAAAGACTAGTAATGATCCCATATCAGAGATTTGCTCAGAAAATAGTTTAAATGTTGATTTCCTCATGTTAGTGGGACAGTCTGATGATGAATCCATAAATTTTGATGCATGGTTAAGGAATTACTCACAGAATAATTCAAAGAATTATTCTTTGAAGTATACAAAGTATACAAAGAAGGACACAAAAAAGAATGCAAAGAAAAGCTCTGATGCTGAATCTGAAGACTCAAAGGATGCTAAGAAAGATTCAAAGAAAGTTAAGAAAAATGTCAAGAAAGATGACAAGAAAAAGGATGTAAAGAAGGACACAGAGTCTACTGATGCTGAATCTGGAGACTCAAAGGATGAAAGGAAAGATACAAAGAAGGATAAGAAAAAATTAAAGAAAGATGACAAGAAAAAGGACACAAAGAAGTACCCAGAGTCTACTGATACTGAATCAGGAGATGCAAAGGATGCAAGAAATGATTCAAGAAATTTGAAGAAAGCTTCAAAGAATGATGACAAGAAAAAGGATGCAAAGAAAATTACATTCTCTACTGATTCTGAATCTGAACTGGAGTCAAAGGAG
The DNA here is from genome assembly GCF_000001405.40 of Homo sapiens. Lineage (NCBI taxonomy): Eukaryota > Metazoa > Chordata > Mammalia > Primates > Hominidae > Homo > Homo sapiens. Next base: position 83,873,960 of record NC_000023.11, read on the forward strand.
AGTCAGAAAGATGAAAAAAAGGATAAAAAAGATTCAAAGACAGATAATAAAAAGTCTGTCAAGAATGATGAAGAGTCTACTGATGCTGACTCTGAACCGAAGGGAGATTCAAAAAAGGGTAAAAAGGATGAAAAGAAGGGGAAGAAAGATTCAAAGAAAGATGACAAAAAGAAGGATGCAAAGAAAAATGCAGAATCTACTGAAATGGAATCTGATTTGGAGTTAAAGAAGGACAAGAAACACTCAAAGGAAAAGAAAGGTTCAAAGAAAGATATCAAGAAGGATGCAAGAAAGGACACAGAGTCTACTGATGCTGAATTTGATGAATCTTCCAAGACAGGCTTTAAAACATCTACAAAAATCAAAGGTTCAGATACTGAATCTGAAGAGTCACTATATAAACCTGGGGCTAAGAAGAAAATTGATGAATCAGATGGCACATCTGCAAATTCAAAGATGGAAGGACTGGAATCAAAGAGAGGATTCAGAATGTCATCCAAAAAGACTACATTCAATGAAAAAGGGGAAAAAGCAAGTACAGGTAGAGTTCCTCCATCAAGAGAAAAACCACCACTCCCTGCTTGTGAGCCTTCTCTACCATCACCAAAGGTCAGACGTCTTTGTTGGTGCAAGATGCCTCCTCCACCTCCAAAACCAAGATATGCTCCTTTGGTAAGTTTACTACTGTTTTATATTTAGGCTGAAATGGATATAAAATGAAAGACTTTTTAAAGTTTGAATTTATGTTTTCTCCAAATAATAGTTATCTTTTACTAGAATATTGACAACTTTGTGACTCGAAGGTAAGAAAAATAAAGAATACCTCACAAGGATGCAAAATACTGCAAAAAGTTATAAATTTAAGAGAATAGAAATTATTTGGACTAGAGAAGAGAGAAATGACTTGTGATTTAAGAAAACGTGAAGTTATGTATAAAGAAGGTCATTTTGCAAAAAAAAAAGTGGTTAAGTTTTATACTTGGAAAAGAACAAAAATGAAAATTGACTAAAACTTCTACAGGGGCAGATTTAAGCGAGATATAAAGACATTTCCTGAGAAGTTGCTGAATACAGTAAAAGCTAGATTAACCAAAATTCATACATAGCAGGTGGAATACATGCCAAGATTCAACTGTGCAAAAAAATTAAATTATTTAATCCATATCTCAAGTGGATTTTTTATGAGCCCTCATTATAACTGATATCAGGAAACAAAAGTTAACTTTTCAGAAATAACTATATCTTCTCTAATTTATAAACCTCATGTTAACTTTATCTATTTGGAGGTAAATACTCTGTCAACTTAAAGCTACTACTTCTCTCATCCAGGAGTCTTTCCCTTCAATCCCTTCCCCAATAGTCTGATTGTAAGGGAAAGCATAAATAGACATATTACATTAGACAGAGGAGTTCTGGATTAGTTCTCACACTGCTGATAAAGATATACCTGAAACTGAGAAATTTACAGAAGAAAGAGGTTTAATTAGACTCACAGTTCCACATTTCTGGGGAGGTCTCTCAATCATGGCAAAAGGCAAGGAGGAGCAAGTCACATCTTACTTGGATGGCAGCAGGCAAAGAGAGCTTGTGCAGAGAAACTCCCGTTTTTAAAACCATCAGATCTTTTGAGACTCATTCACTATCACAAGAACTGTGTAGGAAAGACCTGCCCCCATAATTCAATCACTTTCCACTGGGCTCCTCCCACGACATGTGTGAATTGTGGAGGTTACAATTCAAGATGAGATTTGGGTGGGGACACAGCCAAACCATATCAAGTCCCTATTCTACATGTTTCCTCCCTTTCTGTCTCTATGATTTTTGGTTGGGTGTAACTCATTTACATGATTTCTGGGCATCAATCTTTGTTTCCTATGCTTGCATGGTATTCATTGTTTATTCTAAGCATCGTAGGACTGCTGCCCTCTGACCTGTTAAACTCACGGCTTCTGTAGATACAGCTAGTTCTTGACCCTAAACTTCTCATTTTTATTAATTTCCTCCTCCCTTTCTTCTCCTCATTTCTCCCCCTTGTCACCTTCTTGTTCTTCTAACTCAAGAAATTTATATTTCCTCTTTTAGGCTCAGAGAGATCTATTTTATCTTATATTCCAAATATTTTCTATCTTTGGTTTATAATAAAACTTTACATATGTACATCAATTTACTTCTCATATATTAATATTTTTTGGAAGATAAAAACATCTTTTATCACTCTCAGAAAGCCTGGGTTTCAAGTCTAGCTTTCTCCCAGCAGACCCCAAAACTCTGCTTTGAGACTCAAAGTTGATTAATGACCCCCTTGCTCTAGGTGATATCTTCTTTCTCCACCAGATTGAGTTAATGGATGGCTAACCACTAGTGTGACAATACTTATAAGAAATAAAAGTACACTGGGGAATAATTTTTAAGATAAGTAAGAAGAAAGACTCTCAAATAGCTAGACTCTTTTCCACAGGCAGTTTTTAGGAAAAGTAAATAAAATATAAGAAAAAAATTGAATACAAGGATTAATTTTAATTAAAAAATTATCTTTCAGGGTATGTTCTAGGCTTGTACAATTCATGCCAAGTCTCTTTAATAAACTTCCATATGCTTTGCCACCATTCAGTTAGGCTTTTCTGTCTCTACTACTCCACTGAAACTTTTCCTTTAAAGGTTACCAAATACCTTCTTGTGGCCATATCTATAGGCTTTTCCTCCCTCCTCATCTTATTTCATAATTCAACAGCATTTAAACTAACCTTTCTGTCTGGAAATACTTCCATTACTTCACTTCTATGACTGTGCTCTCCTGTTTTTATTTCTACATACTGGTAGATTTTAACCACCTTTATTGTATCCTTCTCTGCCTCATTATTAAAAATTGGAATGATCCTGTCTTTGTCCTGGACACTCTTTATTTACAGTCCTCCCTTTGTGAGTATATAGCGTTAAATGGCTTTAAATATTATCTATGTATTGATGATTCCAAAATTAATATCTCCAGTTATGACCTTCTAATTGAGCTCCAAAATCTCTCCACTTGAAATCTCCACTATAGTATCTACTGGGCATCTCATACTTAAAATGTTTAAATAATATTTTTAACCCCACACTAAATTCTATTCCTCCCTTAGCTGTCTTCATCTTATCAGATGGCACCACCATCCAGCCAGTTGATTTTTTTAAGCCTGGACATAATCTCCTTCTCACTTCTTTTTCTCACCCTACACAGGTAATCCATCAGCAAGACTTGTTTACTCTACCTCCAAAATATGTCCTGACTGAATCCACTTTCCTTATCTCCATTACTACCACCTTCGTTGCTCCAGTCATCACCATCATTAGCATCTAGCTATCCATTAACTCATTATGTTGCCCAGGCTGGTCTTGAACTCCTGGGCTCAAGCAATCTTCCAGCCTTGGCTTCCCAAAGTGCTGGGATTGTAGGTGTAAGCCACCATGTCTGGCAGAATAAAATTTCTTACCCTAGCTTCCAGTGTCTACAATCTTTAGCCCCTACCCATTTTTCACCATAATCATGTAGCACTTCTTCTCTTTTCTCTTGTCATCTAGCCAAACTGGCATTCTTTTTGTTTCTCATAAACACCAAGATTGTTTTCTTGCAAAGCCTTCTCATGTGCTGTTTCCTCTGATTGGAATATTCCTCCCACAGATCTTTGCATGTCTATTCCTTTTCATTATTTAGTTTTTCAGCTTAAGTGTTCTCTTTAGAGAAGCCTTCCCTGACTACCTTACTTTATGTTACCCTCTCATCCACCACTATGCAGTCACCCTCCGAACACTGCATCATACATTATTTGGCTTCACTGAATTTATATTTATATAAAATTATATTTTATTCATTTGTTTGTTAATTATATTCAACATCAGAATTCAGGTTCTATGCAGGCAGTGAATCTAGCCTGTTTTTTCATATATATATATATATATACAAATATATATAAATATATATATATATATAAATATAAATATATATATTTGTATATAAATATAAATATATATATTTGTATATAAATATAAATATATATATTTGTATATAAATATATATATAAAAATATATATATTTGTATATAAATATAAATATATATATTTGTATATAAATATATATATAAAAATATATATATTTGTATATAAATATAAATATATATATTTGTATATAAATATATATATAAAAATATATATTTGTATATAAATATATATATAAAATATATATATTTGTATATAAATATATATATAAATATATATAAATATATATATAAATATATATAAATATATATAAATATATAAATATATATATAAATATATAAATATATATAAATATATAAATATATATATATAAATATATAAATATATATAAATATATAAATATATATATAAATATATAAATATATATAAATATATATAAATATATATATAAATATATATAAATATATATAAATATATATAAATATATATAAATATATATATAAATATATATAAATATATATAAATATATATAAATATATATATAAATATATATAAATATATATATATTTTCATACATGTCCACAGATTCAAAAACAGCAGCTATATATATGAAAATATATATTTTAATATATGTCCACAGATTCAAAAACAGCACCTATGTTATATTTAGTTGGTTGAGAATTTGGTCCCTCTAAAGAGCTACATATCACAGTAGGAGACATTCGGATATCCCTTTTTCCAAGCATTTTTCCTCTAGATATGTCATTAAAACAAGTATTTTTTTAAGTGAGGGTAGTCACAAAAATGCACTTTATATTCTAATTGGATGTCTGGAAGAGAATACCTATGTATCCTGCTCAATTGTGTATGGGGAACTTATGAACAAACTTTGTTATTGAATCTTATGGAGTTTTCTCCTTCCTTTTTTTTTTTTTTAATATGGGCTTGAAGAATGATGGCTTTTCTCCTTTTCTCCTCCACTGGAGTCCTAGTGATTCTCACAGTAGCACATAAGCACGTAAGAACCACATAAGCAGTGCTGTGTTTCAGGGTCAGCACTGTTTACACTCCTGGATTAAGATTATTTACATTTGATATTATGTTTATAAATCTTAGCAATATTCTCAAACGTAAGTGAAGAATTCTTTATATTCCAGATGCTAAGGTAGAAAAGTAGGGTGTTATGTTTAGGGTGTTTTGTTTTCCATTCTGTATGTGTATATATAATCTTTATTAACAAAAATACAAATACAACAACAGAAACAATATAAAATACGTAAAGAAAAGCTAATCATTTAGATCCTCATGTCCACTTTCTGATGCCAAATCCCCCTATTTTCTCATCTTCTAGAGGTAAACAATGTTAGCAGCCTGGGGTCCATTTTTCTCTCTTACACCATTTCCTTGTACAAGCAAATGTAAGGAGGGAGAGAGAGAGGGAGAGAGAATTACATAATTTGTTTTGACCAAAATACAATCATGCACATGCAGTAAAGTACAACTTATTTTCTCACTTGACAATATCATGGTCATCCATATAAGTCGTTAGACATACATCTATTGTTATTGTTCTTATTTCCAACTTGCTTGTGAAAACACACACAGAATTTTGTGTCAATACCATACATTGTGATTTGTTTTCCTTCCATCTTTTATTTTTGCTTATCTCTCTACTTCTCATTCCCACTTTCACCCATCGCTTTTTTTCTCCTTTCTAGGTAACACTTATCAACAACTTACTATGTTTCATTCCATACGTCTTTCTAAGGTTCACTTTACCATATCAAACATTCAAACACACACAGACACATACACACACACACATGCACACAGTGGTAGCATCTGGCAGCAGAAGAGAAAGTGTATGGCAGCTGGGAGCAGGAGGAAGTGAGGTTTTCTTATTGTTTTATTTTAAAATAAAGAAATAATACATCTTTGCATCTTGGTCAGCAATAGTTGTTACAGCTCCTCCTAACTTTTGCCATTCTAATGGATGCATAATGATATCTCATTGGTACTTTAATTTGCATTCTCCTAAATGCTAGTTTGTTTAAATATCTTTTGAATGTTTGTCGTGCCATACGTTTGATCTTTTGAGAATTATTTCTTTGTATTCTTTGTCCATTTTTCACATGGGTTATTTGTATGTTTCTTGCATTTATTAAAGTATCTTTGCATATTATAGGTATTACTCCTTCATCTGTCTTCCTTGTTGTATTTTCCCTAGCTTTCATGTCTATTAATTATTTTGCAGTGTATTTTGCTGTGCACAAATACTAAATTTTTACATAATCAAATACGTCTATAATTTATTTGGTTGTTTCTTGGCTGTCCGTATTAGTGAAAATTATCTTCTCCACAGAGTAGTTTTTAACAGGGACTAAAACAAAAACTAGTCCTTAGTAAATAATAAACTGTCATCGATGTCCAAATTGAGCATTGTGACAATCAAGGTTTTATTGCACTGAAATGAGTTAACAAAGGAGATGTCTTAATGTCTTTCCCAAAAGAATTAAATACATTATTTGAAAAATCAGAAGTCCCATGCAAGTTGTATAATCTAGTGGCTACTGCATACAGCTTTGGAGTCAAATAATTTGGATTTAAATCCTTGCTCTATCACTTACTAGCAGGATACTTTTCCCCAAAAGTATCTTAATCACTTGAAATATTAAGTGATTTCTTTCTTAATCACTTGAAATATTATTTTTTCTCAAGTATAAAATGGGATATTAATAAGACCTTCCCTATAGGAAAATGAAACATGTAAGATGTTTAGTATATTATCTGCTATTTTATTATGCACATTCAGGGAGCACCACTCCTATCAACATCCCTCAAATAACAATGCATGTGGCTTTTAATTTCATCCAGGTTATATGAGCACAATGTAAAAGAAACCAACGTATTAGAACATGTTTAGTTCAACAAATAAACCAATCAATATTTTTAACTGCCACCCTCTCCTCAATAAAATTAATTAATTGATAGCATATTTCATTTTCCAGGAGGAATTATCATTTTCTGAGCATGCAGAGGTTACATGACATTATGCTCAATACTGGGCAATTGATTAAAAAGCTTATCTTTCAATTTCTATAGTTAATTAGGAGTCAAAAGAAGACAGACTAAATAATCAGAAAACCCAAACTAAGGAGACTACAAGTTGATTCACTGTTGCTATTCAAGGAAAGTGGGTGTTGTTGTTGTTGTTGTTGTTGTTGTTGTTTTGTATTAAACTGGAAAGCACTTCAAGGAAGTACTTATTTCAGGTGAAATCAGTCAAAACGCAAATTGAAGTAAAACACATAAGAACCGTCGAACTTGGTTCACTTTATACTTTTTATTTTTTTCTGGGACACATGTTCCTTCATAATAAAATAAAGCAAGTAAATCCCTCTCTTATTCTGGGCCTGATTTCTCATCTCTAAAATGAAAAATTGAACTAGGTGAGCTGTAATTTCAAATTGTATGGCTAGCATAGTGGGATGAATTTGTCATTTCTTAGTTGTGCCTGCCTGAAAGATATCGGTCATATGTCTGCCCATAACAGTGATGGACTACGGATAGAATATGAGGCTAACTAGATAGTAGAAGTGACTGACACACTAGAGCACAAAAAAAATAATGGTAACATTGGACGGAGATTATTACCACAAGAAATTATTCTTAGGAGGATTCATGAATTATTGGGTACCACTGATTTCTAAAGGTTTTTGAAACATTTTCGAGATCTTTGTACAATATATAATCATGATTCTGGAGGTAATTTATTTTTGAAACTGTCATTACCTGATTTTTTTTTTTTTTTGAGACAGAGTCTCGCGCGATCTCGGCTCACTGCAACCTCCACCTCCCAGTTTCAAGCGATTCTCCTGCCTCAGCCTCCCGTGTAGCTGGGACTATAGGTGCCCACCACCACGCCCAGCTAATTTTTTGTATTTTTAGTAGAGACGGGATTTCACCGTGTTAGCCAGGATGGTTTCGATCTCCTGACTTCGTGATCTGCCCACCTCAGCCTCCCAAAGTGCTGGGATTACAGGCGTGAGCCACCGCGCCTGGTCACCTGATTTTATCTATTGAAAAGAATACTGGAGTTGTTTTAATTTGAAGCCATCCCACTGTATTTGATAAAGTTACAGTCAAGTACCAGTGTAACTGAATGCCCCAGACAGACAGAAAGATATAAGTGCCTACTGATATGTTTCTGTTTTTATTTCCTCTGCTGGTTATTTCCATATCTCTGAATAATATATTTATATGACTACTTCTCAATTTTACACATTTTCCATTGGTTTTCTTCCATAAAAGATAAAGATATAGGTTGTGTACATCATCCTCTCTTCTTCTCTCTAATTGAGTCCTACATTTGTTTTTAATATATTTGCCAATTACCTTTATAACATTAAATATTATATTTGTAACCTTTTTCCTACCCTTTTTCCCTACTTTTCTCTTCTGTTCTTCATTTCTGTACCTTTTCTTTAGTTCTTTTTTAAAAAGTGCTCTTTTAATAGTTCCCTGCAATGACCTTTCACTGAATATTATGGTCTTGTCTGTACCTACATTAACTTGTAATCTCTTGCCTTTATAAAAACTATCTCTTCCCTTAACTTCCCTGAGTTTCTACTATTGTGGTTTTCTTTCTTGCTACTACTTTTCTTTTTCCTCTCCTACTACTGTTTCCATATCTTCAATTCTTACACTTCTTCCTCTTCCTACATCCAACTCAAAGTTGTTTTCTATGGCTCAGTTATTAGACCTCAACTCTTCTCTATATACTCTGGGAGCATTAGTCTACCACTATGGCTTAAATTTTCACTTCTTTGTAGACATTTCAAACTGTATATCCCTAGACTATTTTCTCATCCTAAATTTTGTCTATTAGCTCCTATATTCAAACACTTTCTAAGCTCCAAGAGATCAGAAAAAAATGAATTTTTTAAATTTCATTTTTAATTTAAATTTAATCCACCATTGGGGCCTTTTCTGTTATTCTGGTAAAGTCATTTGCAAATGAGAAATATAGTACCTAACCTACCCATTATAACAAATTGTTCTTAGGTTCAAATATTAAAAAAAGGTGTGAAAGGGTTTTATAAATGACAAATCATTATACAAATGTAAGACTTTATTACTACTATTACTGCCTTATGCCTTCATTTATATTGCCCCTCTTTTTTCTTGCAATTGGTTTCTCCTTCTTCTCCAGTTGTCTTCTTCAAAGCTTGACTTTCCCTCAAAACACTGTAACACTTATATTGCTCTCTATTTGTTGGGTTGATATTAATATTGTGTTCTAATTCTTTCCAACTACTGTCACACTCAGAGTATCATTCTGCATGTAGAAGATAATTAACAACTATTTGTTGACTGATTAACTTAAAAGTTTGGTAATAAGTTGAAAGTTTATATTTGGAATTTTGTCATATTTAGGAGAATTATCAATCTTTATTACTATGTTTTATCTATCAATAAATATTCCTTGAGCAAATATTCCGTGTCAGGCACTGTTCAAATCAATGAAGATATAAAATGCATATCTATTTCTTTCAAGGAAGTTAAAGTTTTCACCTAGGGAATAAAAATTCTAGCAGCTTTTGTTTTAGTTGTCCTCTCTAAATAAAATAACCTTCTCTGAAAATAGGAACACTCAAAATATTATACAAAACCAAGAAGCTTTACATTCTTTTCTCATCTATGTAATTTACTCAGTTATTATTATGGTTGTGCATTGTATCTATCTTCTGCTAAAAAGTAAGCTGCATGATGACAAAGCTCTTTAATTTGTTTACTAATGTATTTGAAATTCCCAAGAAAGTGGGCACTCAATATTTGCTGAAAAATTGAATGTGGCATTTGTTAGAGGACTACCAAAAAATGAATGAAAGAATTTCTTGGCAGTTGTATAAACACAGCTGGAGCTAGGTAATATCAAATTTAAGTATGTTCAGTTCATAAATTTTTTATTCATACCACAAAGCTGAAGTAATATTTCAGCTTGGTTATATAAGATAAGCAAGATTTTGACAGAGACAATGGAGAAGTTTATATTCAAAAATTACCAACTAATTAAAAGCAGAACCAGGCTGTGAAATTATATTATGAGATGCAATATTATAGCATGATGCCTAAGGGTGAAACTAACTGAAGGAGAAAACAGTTTACAGCCTAGAAGCCAGTCAAAGTGGATGGTGGGAGAAAGAGTTGGCAAGTGGCATGATAAGCATGATGACAGGCTAAGGAAAATAAAAGCAGCAGAGAATATTGTGATGCCTCTTCACAACAAGTTTTTTTTAGAAGAATGTTATTCATGTTCTTAGCCTACTTTTTGATGACATTGTTTGGTTTTTTCCTTGTTGATTTGTTTGAATTTGGTGTAGATTCTAGATATTGTTCCTTTGTCAGATATATAGATTATGAAGAATCTCTCCCACTCTGTGGGTTGTTTGTTTACTCTGCTAACTGTTCCTTTTGCCATGCAAAAGCTCTGTAGTTTAATTAAGTCCCAGCTATTTGTCTTTGTTTTTATTTCATTTGCTTTTGGGATCTTGGTCATAAATCCTTGCCTAAGCCCAATGTCTAGAAGGGTATTTCCAATGTTGTCTTCTGGAATGTTTATAGTCTCACAAATAACCACTAAAGAACTTACTCATGTAACCAAACACCACCTGTTCCCCAATAACATATGGAAATAAAAAATAAAATAAAAAACAAACACTAAATTATAAAATAGGTGGGAGGAATTTCTGGTTTGTTCTATGATATGATAACATTTTTATGCATTTTTAAATTGCATGCACTTTGCTAACAATTTTTTTTCCTATTTTTTAACTGTGTTACTGTGTTGCTACTTTGCTGTGCCCAAGCATAGAGACTCCTTCATCACCAGCTGTGAGATTTGGTGTCTTCTCATTGACCTCTGACTGTCAATAATAATTTCTAATTCCAAACTCTGTCTTTCTTAGAAAATGTCTTATTTTCTAGACATTACCCAAACTCTTTCCTATATGGAAAAAAATTCTACCAGCTACTACCATTCTCTGAGCTATGAATCTAATTCCTCACTAAGGTATTAAGTTTAATTTTGGTTACTCTTTCCATAATAACTATGGTTTAATCGAGGCCTCTAAAGATCTTAAACTCAAAATCTAAATGAATGAATTTTAAATGTTTGAATTTGGGGTAATGTGAAATGTTCTAGAATGTGACATTTCTAGTGCCTCTCCCAAATCACAATATACAGGTAGAAGTTATTCCACATATATTTAAGGATAAAACAAGCCAACATTTTCTTTCAATTATTTGGGATACATAATGATATAGAAAAAAAGAATGAACTGTGAATCAAGAGTGCTATGATAAGACATATTTCTGAGAATGAAAACAAGATCTGTATAATAAAAAAATCAAGAAATAGAAATAGATAATTTATACAGGAGGAAATAAATATGAGGCAAAATCATAAAAATATATTGACGATGATTAGTAATCAGAGCAACCCCAAGAGATCATTTTGCACCTAGTAATGCGACTATTATATATATATAAATCTTATGTATATTAACTATATCAATACATAAAATATAATTTTTATATGTGTTGTATATATAAGATATATCTTACAACTGTTGAAGCTTCAGTGACAGCAGTACATTTATTCACTGCTGACTTCAGAAGGGGACCAATATAAACCAGCTTAACTTTCCTCTGGGCCTATATGGGAATATGTAGGAAGAGTCATAAATGATAAAATAATATTTGACTCAATAATCCCACTGCTATAAATATAATAAAAATTTTTCAGAAGAAAATAAGAAGAAAAAACAAACTATGCATAAAGAGCATGATTGCAATACTGTCTATAAGAGAAAAACTTTGGTATAAATGTATAATATATAAAACTATGTATACTTATAAATTAATGTATATAATATATTTGTATAATGTATAAAATTAGAGGGGGGTTAGTAAGATCTGAAACAGATTAGTATGCATTCATTGAAATAATAATGATGGAGCCTAGGAAATTAGAGGGAAAAGTTTGTACTATAAGGCTAAGAGAAATAAGCAAGAAAAAATACTATGGGATTGCAACTAAACAGAAATCTTCATTTTTGTGGATAAAAAGTATGCATTAATATGCAAATTCGAAAATAATTGTGTTAGTGTGGTGTAATTTGGGGTGAATACAAGATATTTTAAATGCATTTTCATTTTTTACATTATATTTTTATTTTTAAAAGTTCTAATCCATTAATGTAGTTGTGAAAGTTTAGGCTAATGGTGTAACATTGCTGGGCCTTGGCTCCTGTACAAACACTGATGATTGGACTACCATTCAGTACTTCTCACTCTTTAGTGTCCATTAAGATTATTCAGGGAGCTTGTTGAATGTGCATACTGCTAGACTATATCTTCCCAGATTTTGACTTGGTAGGTCTGGGGTGGAGACCAGGGATCTGCGTTTTTAATAAGAAATAATAAAAATGATATCCAAGTTCCCTTTCAACTATGACAGTCTGTGCTTTCGTGTGATCCTTAACACATCATAGTTGTCTTGATTAATAGACAAATAAAGCCTTTCTTTTTATTTGCATTTTTCTACTTTGCTCCTCAGCCTGAAGCACCGTGGATTCATAAGCTGCTTTAAAGAACAACTGAGCACTTGGTTTCACAGAATGGCCTTACCACAGTAAGCACCACCTACTCTCAAATGAGCATTTCTACCTCTGTGGAACTGAAATAAAAACAAGTCTTCCATGAGTATCAAGAGTTGCTTTTTTGCATATAATTTACAGAAGTGATTTATAGACATGTTTTTTATTATTTATCAAATGTCTCAATTATTCATACCAAAATAATTTAGCATTTTACCCCATGTTCTCAAGCTTCAGTCTGGAAACTATTTCTGAGTTTGGGTTCAAATGTACTCTGCTTCAATACTCTTACCATATTTCATTAAATTTCTCTTTTACTTAGCATTCAAAATAAAAGTAAATAGAGAATGAAAGGGAGGAAGCAGATCTTCCACACCCTTAAGAGAAATAGAGAATATACATAGATATTAACCCCTGACAAAAATTTTTTGTTTGGCCAAACTTTCATCATACTCCTGAACCATATCCTAGGCCTATCTAGGCATTTCCCTTGTAAAATCCGTTTTAGCAAAAAAGCTGCTAAATCAGTTTATCAAGAGTCTTACACCCTTAATAACTGATCCTTCAATATGTGATCGGGTTTCTCATCATCCATCATCTTCCAGGTGATTTCTCATCACCCTAGAATCCTGTTAAGTCAGTATAGCCAGAATCCCCCCTTATCCCCGATGTTACCTCTCAGTAATTTTCCATCCACTGACTAGCACCCTGCTTTTTGACTATAAATTCCTACTTGCTCATTCTATATTCAGAGTTGAGCCCAATCTCTCTCCTCCAGTGAAATACCCCATTCCCATGGTCCCTACACCTATCCAATGATAGCTTCCCTTTGAAGAAAGTCTGCTTACCATCTTCAATGAGTGTCAGTGAATATGTTTTTCTTTAACACCTTACCTCCTCTACACACATACACATATAGAATTCTAAACTTAATTATTTACTTTTATTTCTTTTTCTCCTTATTTATTTATTTACTGATAAACTGCAAATGTTCATGAGATAATAACACACATATCTCAATCATTTTACATATTTCTGTGAATATGCTTGTCACATTATTTCCTGAGAACAGGATACTGGTATGGAAGGAAAGAGAGAGAGAAATAGACAGAGATAAGTATGGCAGCCTCCTTTACTTCACCCAGTCTGCTTTGTACCTTTTGGTTATAATCTTTTTTTTATTATTATACTTTAAGTTCTAGGGTACATGTGCACAACGTGCAGGTTTGTTACATATGTATACATGTGCCATGTTGGTGTGCTGCACCCATTAACTCGTCATTTACATTAGGTATATCTCACTTCAGTTTGCTCTCAGAAATGACAACATTTCAGATCCAATTCTTAAAGAGGTGTTATTTTTCTAAGCCATTTAATAACTTTACATATGTCTATATAACATATACTTTAAAAAGTTATAAGAAAAGTTTAGAAACAATCCAATTAGCCCTCAATAAATGATTTGCTGAATATATGACAGTTCTTCAACACAATGTAATGCCTTGTGAATGTGAAAAAGAATAATAAAGCTCTCTATGTAGTGACCTAGAAAGAGCTTCAATATAAATTTAAGTGAAAAAAATCAATGTGCAAAAGAGAGGATATGCTATGTTATTTATAGGGTTTTTAAAAGAAGGGAAGAGCTGACATATATTTGCATTTGCCTATATTTGCATAAAGAGACTCTGGTAGTATAAAAAATAAAATAATAAAAGTGGTTACCTATAATAGAGGAGTGGTATTTGAAGAAATGACAGGTTAGAGAAACAGATGAAGTTTCGACCTAATACTAATATTCAGCCAGTACACATTGAATGAGCCGTAATGGTTGATAAAATACTACAATATTTCTAAATCATTTGGTAAATGGCAACTACACTGTTCACCACCCCTTCCCCTCGACACCTTGAATGCTGCTCAGTCTTCTCTCTTGGAACATCAGGGATCCTCCAGGAATCAAAAGCAAAGACATAATTACAAGTATAAAAGACGTATTCAGTGAAACACTTGTGAAAGGTAAAAGGAGAGAGAGCCGAAGTAGGTAAGAAGAGACTGTAGACTGCCATGCAAGCTGGCATCCATGAAAGGAGAAAGGAAACAAAAGAGCCTCAGCTGTATTGAAGCTCAGGGAAAATCTCAGGCAGGCCAATGGGGAGCCCAGAGCAAAGACTGCTCTTTAGAGGAATCTGTGTTGGGCAGAAATAGCCAGGCCTTAGTACTGTCACAGTGCTTAATCATTGTCTGGGAGAAGTCCAGTGGGAGTGTAGCCGCAGCTTGAATATTGGTGAATCTCAAATGAGCACAGGCTGTCAGCTGATGCTATTCCTCAGAAAAATCTCCCCTGAAGTGAGATCTGAGCAGCAATTTCCCTTGACCATCACAGCACAAATCCATTTCTTTATCCGTATTCACTCCTCAAAAGTTCTATGGGCTTCTCCTCCTTAGGGAAAACTTAAAAGAGGAAGGGTAGAGGAAAAACCATAGTCCTTATCCTTCCAGTTGATCTTAGGGCCACAACTGGTCTGGTCTGGTCTCCTACATTGTTCATCTTAAATTCCTCTCATTCTCCTATGTGTCTTACCTGGTGTTATAATCTGAAATTTCATTTCTGAAGGGTCTGAACCCTTAGTAATTGTAACCTTCTCGGGTTCCATTCACAGTTAAAATTGGGCAAGGGATTCAAAGAGAAGCCTAAATGGATCATGTGGCTTCCACCAATATCCTTTCCTTTCCACATTGTAAAAAGCAACTCTACCTCCCCTCTGCTTATCAGATTAAATTAGCCTTCTCAAAATGGTGATTCTTTTCAACATCTGGTTTCTAGGTATAAGGAGTCCAAAGATCCCTAGCAACAGCTGTAACTTGTCCTTCAATGGGACTCTTGTATGTCCCTTGGCAAGCTTTATGTCCCCCTTTTGGGATAAGGACTTATAACTCTGTAAAGCCCAGAGCTGCTGTGACAAGAAGCACATGGGCTCCCAGTGAGTCATTTTGAGAATGGTGGCAAGTGGGGCCACTCTTGATTCTATCCCTTTTGGCATATGTGTTTTTCCTATTGAGGATAAAACACCATATAGAAATATCTGTTTTAATTCTTATACTGCATCTCACGGACAGCACTCCATCTTGCAGAGTATTGCATCCGAGCTCATACTTCATCACTGTGACTTCAGTAGGCCATTCAAGCTCTCTGTGAAGTTGGCTGCTTCTCAATGGTGCAGTATGTAGTATGACTGTGTACATCATGGTCATGGGCCCACTTCCATACCTCCTTTACAGTTTAATACCCTGGTCAGATGTTATTCTTCCTCAAGGATACCCCTGAGTTTGGCTGTAATGCAAGTGCTGTTCATTTTCAGCTAGAACCCACATACTCAGCCGAAATATTTATAAACCAAGCTCAGGCATATTTTTCCTCCTTCATATGGCCATAGGTGCAAGCTGAAGAAGGATGCTGGAGCCAGCACAGTAGATGATATGGAGGTCTGTAGTACCTGCTCATGAAGCTTACTTATACTCTCTAGTCCTACTCACAAATGATCCCAGAGTGACCATATTCCACTTTTGGGTATCTTTACAGCAGCATCACACTCCTGGTACCAATTTACTGTATTAGTCTGTTCTCACATTGCTAATAAAGACATATCCGAGACTGGGTAATTTATAAAGGAAAGAGGTTTAATGGACTCACAGTTTCACATGGCTAGGGAAACCTCACAATCATGGCCAGAGACGAAGGAAGAACAAAGACATGTCTTACATGGTAGCAGGTAAGAGAGCTTGTGCAGGGGAACTCCCGTTTATAAAACCAACAGATCTCATGAGACTTATTCACTATCACAAAAACAGTATGAGAAGGACCTGCCCCATAATTCAATTACCTCCCACCAGGTCCTTCCCATGACATGTGGGAATTATGAGAGCTACAATTCAACATGAGATTTCGGTAGGGACATAGCCAAACCATATCAACAAATAATGAGCACAGTGTCTGATAGGTAATTTTTCAATCCTCATTCTCCCCCCACCCTCCACTCTCAAGTAGTCCCCAATGTCTGCTGTTGCCTTCTTTGGGTCCATATATACTTGATGTTTATCTCCCACTTATAAGTGAGAACATGCAGGATTTAGTTTTCTGTTTTCATTTAATTCACTTATAATAATGGCCTCCAGCTCCACCATCTTGCTGCAAAGAACATGATCTCTTTCTTTTGTATGGCTGTGTAGTGTTCCATGGTGTATATTACCACATGTTTTATATCCAATCTACAGTTGATGGACATTTAGTTTTATTTCATATCTTTGCTAGTGTGAATAGTGCTGTGATTAACATAGGCATGCATGTGTATTTATGGTAGAATGATTTATATTCCTATGGGTATATACCTAATAATTGGAATGCTGATTTGAAAGGTAGTTCTGTTGTGAATGCTTTGAGAAATCACAGCAATACTTTCCACAAAGGCTGAACAAATTTACAATCCCACCAGTAGTGTAAAACCGTTCCTTTTCTCTGCAACCTCGCCAGCATCGGTTATTTATTGACTTTTTAATAATGGCTATTCTGGCTGGTGTGAGATGATATCTCTTTGTGGTTTTAATTTGCATTACTCTAATGATTAGTGCTATTGAGCATTTATTCATATTTTTGTCAGCTGCATGTATGTCTTCTTTAAAGAAATGTCTGCTCAAGTCTTTTGCCCACTTTTTAATGGGGCTGTTTGTTTTTGCTCGTAAATTTGTTTAAGTTCCTTATAGATTCTGGATGTTGGACTTTTGTTGGATGCATAGTTTGCAAATACTTTTTCCTGTTCTGTAGGTTGTTTACTCTGTTGACAGTGTCTTTTGCTGTGCAAAATCTCCTTAATTAGGTCATATCTGTCAATTTCTGTTTTTGTTGCAATTGCTTTTGATATCTTCATCGGTGAAATCTTTGACAGTTCCTATATTCAAAATTGCATTTGCTAGGTTATCTTTCAGAAATTTTGTACTTTTACATTTTACATGTAAATCTTTAATACATCTTGAGTTGATTTTTGTATATGGTGTAGGAAGGAGTTCAGTTTCAATCTTCTGCATGTGGCTAGCCAGTTATCTGAGAACCATTTATTGAATAGGGAGTCCTTTTCCCATTGCTTGTTCTCATCAACTTTGACAAAGATCAGATGATTGTAGGTGTGTAGGATTATTTCTGGACTCTCAGTTCTGTTCATTGGTCTATGCTTCTGTTTTTATACCAGTACCATGCTGTTTTGGTTACTTAGCCTTGCATGATAGTTTGAAGTCAGGTAATATGATGCCTCCAGATTTGTTCTTTTTGTTTAGGATTCCCTTGGCTATTTGAGCTGTTTTTTGGTTCCACATGAATTTTAAAATAGTTTTTTTTTAATTCTATGAAGAATGTAATTGGTACTTTCATAGGAATAGCATTGAATCTGTAAATGGCTTTGGGCAGTACGGACATTTTAACAATATTGATTCTTCTTATTCATGAATATGAAAAGTTTCTCCATTTGTTTGTGTAATCTCTGATGTCTTTGAGTTGTATTTTGTAATTCTCATTTTACAGATCTTTCCCTACCTGGTCAGTTGTATTCCTAGCTATTTTGCTCTCTTTATGCCTATTGTGAATTACATTGCATTCTTGATTTGGCTCTTAGTTTGGATGTTGTTTGCGTGTAGGAACGCTACTGATGTTTCTACATTGATTTTTTTTCTCTTCAAATATCTTCTTTTTAATGACTTAAACACCAGCGTGGAGACTTACGGTTTAAACACTCTCGTTTCTTTGCTCCGTGCTTTGGAAGGGATAGGGACTGCATTTCCCACCTTGTCTGAGTGAAGTTAAAACTTTGTCTTGTAAATAAATAAATAATTTCCTAACTAACACCACAAAATACAAACGAGACCTAGTTTCTCTCAAGGGGCAGGTCGTTTCCAGGTACCCACTGTCGCTGCTCCTCTTGAGGGCCTGGCCATACCTGCCACGAGGAGAATGCGGCAAGAATGGCTTCCCTTCTTCTATTTGCTGCTCTCTAGAAGGGCCGAGAATCTGCTTGGGCCTGCCGGGGCTGATGGCGTCTCGCTCTTGAGAAAAATCTTGCTGGGGCAGGTCCTCCGGCAGCACCAGCACTTTACCAAGAGTGATGGGAAACTGAGACTTTGTACAAAACTGCGCTGGCACTCACCGTCTTAGGTAGCAGATTTATAGAGTGAATACTGTGCTTGGGCCTTTTTCATGAAGACTTGGATCCCAGTTCTTGGAGCAGCTGAAAAAATCGGCTCGGGCCACCAGTGGATACACTCACAATGAAATGAGAGGCCGTGTAAGGTTTGCAAGGCGGAATGGCCTGTAGTTTTAACTCGGAAACTGTGGTGACGCAAACCCAAACCAACTGTGCTACTTCTTGCTGGGAGGCAAACTGTTATCAGGCTTTGTTTTCACTCCTTTGGTGCTTGACCTGATTATTTTGAATCCTGAAACGTTGCTGAGTTATTTATGCGATCAAAAAGCCTTTGGACAGAGACTATGGGATTTTCTAGTTAAAGAATCATATCTTCTGCAAACATGAATAATTTCTTCTTCTTTTCCTTTTTGGATGCCTTTTATTTATTGTCCTTGGCTGGTTGCTCTTACCAGGACTTCTAGTATTATGTTGAGCTCTTATATATTCTGGTTATTAATCCCTTGTCAGATGGGTAGTTTGCAAGTATTTTCTCCCATCCTGTAGGTTTTCCCATTACTATGTTGTTTGTTTCCTTTGCTGTGCAGGAGCTTTTTAACATGATTTGATTCTCCTCAATTTCCTTCATCAGTGTCCTAGAGTTTTCATTATAGAGATCTTTTACTTTTTGGTTAATTCCTAGGTATTTAATTTTATGTGTGGTATTGCAAGTGGGGTTACATTTTTATTTCTTTTTCAGCTTGTTGTTTGTTGGCATATAGAACTGCTAGTGATTTGTGTATGTTGATTTTGTATCCTGCAATTTTTGTGAATTCATCACTTCTAGTAATTTTTTGTGGAGTCTTTTTAGGTTTCTCCAAATAAAAAAAAATATCATCTGCAAACAAGGATGATTTGACTTTTTCCTTTCCAATTTGGATATCCTTTATTTCTTACTTGTGTCTAATTGTTCTGGCTATGACTTCCAGTACAATGTTGAATAACAGTAGTGAAAGTGGGTGTCCTTGTAGTTTTCCAGATCTTAGAGGAAAGCCTTCCACTTTTTTTCCATTCATGACACTAGATGTGGGTCTGTGACATATGGCCTTTATTATGTTGAGATATATTCCTTCTAACCCAGTTTTTTGATGGTTTTTGCCATGAAGGGATGTTGAATTTGATTAAATGCTTTATTCAGTATCCATTTAAATGAGCATATGATTTTTGTTCTTTATTCTGTTGATGTGATTTATCACATTGATTGATTTGCATATGTGAAACCATCCTTGCATCCCAGGGATAAATCCTACTTCTTCATGGTGAATGAACTTTTTAACATATTATTGAATTTGGTTTGCTGGTATTGTGTTCAAGATATTTACAACAGTATTCATTAGAGACATTGCCCGCTAGATTTTTTTTTTTTTGTCTTTGTATGGCTTTGGTTTCAGATTAAGAGTGGCCTCATAGAATGAGTTTGGAAGTATCCCTTTCTCCTGTTTTTTTTGGAATAGGTTGAGTAGGGTCAGTATTAGTTGTTCTTTGCTTTGTAGAATTCAGCAGTGAAGCCACTGGGCCCCAGGCTTTTCTTTACAGAGAGATTTTTTGTTATGGTTTCTATCTCATTACTTGTTATTGGTATATTCAGGTTTTGGATTTCTTTCTGGTACAATCTTGGTAGGTTGTACGTGTCTAGGAATTTTTCCAATTTCTTCAGATTTTCCAATTTATTGGCATATTGTTGCACATAGTGGCCACTAATGCTTCATTTAATTTCTGCAGTGGCAGTTGAAATGTCTCCTTTTTCATCTCTGGTTTTATTTATTTGACTCTTCTTTCTTTTTTCTTAGTTAGCTTAGATAAAGTTTCTTAAATTTTGTTTAACTTTTCAAAAAAAACCTTTTAGTTTCATTGATGTTTTCTATTTTATTCATTTCAAATTCATTTATTTTTTCTCTAATCTTTTTTATTTCTTTTCTTCTATTTATTTTAGTTTTGGTTTGCTCTTGCTTTTCTAGTTCTTTAAGATGCACCATTAAATATTTTTATTTGAAAATTTTCTTCTTTTTTTCATGTAGGCAATTATAGCTATACCCTTATGTCTTAGTACTGCTTTTGCAGTATCCCCTAGGTTTTGGTATGTGGTGTTTCCATTAGTTTTTTCAAGCAGTTTTTCAATTGTCTTCTTAAGATTTTTCATTGACCTACTAGTCTTTCAGGAGCATATTGTTTAATTTTCATGTGTTTGCTTACTCTCCAAAATTCCTCTTGTAACTGATTTTTAGTTTTATTCCACTGTGGTCAGCAAAGATCAGAGAAGATGCTTGATGTTATTGTAATTTGTTTTAATATTTTAAGACTTGTTCTGCAGCTTAACATATGGTATATCTTTGATAATCTATGTGCTAAGAAAAAACAATGTGTATTCTGCAGCTGTTGGTTAAAAATGCTCTTTAAATATTTATTTGATCTATTTGGTCTACAGGACAAATTAACTCTGATGTTTCTTGTTGATTTTCTGTCTGGAATATGTGTCCAGTGCTAAAAGTGGGGTGTTGAAGTCTCCAGCTATTATTGTATTGGGACCTATCTGTATCTGTATCTTTAATAATATTTGCTCCATATGTCTGGTTGCTGTAGTGTTGGGTGCATGTATATTTAAAATTGTTACACCCTCTTGCTGAATTGACCCCTTTATCATTAGTGACATTTTTGTCTATCCTTATAGTTTGTCTTGAAATCAATTTTCTCTGATATTAATATAGCTACTCCTATTCTCTTCTGCTTTCCATTGGCATAAAATAGCTTTTTCAATACCTTTATTTTTAGTTTATGTGTATCTTTATAGGTAAAGTGTGTTTCTTGTAGACAACAGGTTAATGAGTTTTGTATTTTTATCCGTTCAGCATTCTATGTCTTTTGATTGGAGAGTTTAGACAATTACATTCAATGTTATTATTGACAAGTAAGGACTTACTGTTGACATTTTTTTCTTTGTTTTCTGGTTGTTTTGTGGTCTCGTCTTCCTTCTTTTTGTTCCTTTTTTACTTCCTTTAGTGAAGGTGATTTTCTCTGGTGATATAATTTTGTTTCTTGCTTTTTATTATTTCTGTATTTATTGTATATTTTCTGGTTTTAGGGTACTTTGAAGTTTGTAAATACTATCTTAAAACTCATTATTTTAACCTGATAACAGCTTAACACTGTTCGCATAAACAAGCCAACAAACAACCACAAAGAAAACTAATAAAAATGCTACACCTTAAAATCATCCTCCTGCTTTTCATCTTTTTGTTGTTTCTATTTGTATCTTATTGTACTATGTCTTGAAAAGTTGTTGTAGTTATTATTTTTGTATGGTTAATTATTTAGTCTTTCTACTTTGCACAAAAGTAATTTACACACCACAGTTACAGTGTTATAATGTCCTGTGATTTTCTGTGTACTTACTATTACCAGTGAGTTTTATACCTTCGGGTAATTACTTATTGCTCATTAATGTCCTGTTCTTTCCAATTAAAGTTCTCACATTACAAGTAGGACAGGTCTGGTGTTTAAGAAATCTCTCAGCTTTTGTTTGTCTGAAAAAGTCTTTATTTCACCTTCAGGTTTGAAGAATAGTTTTGCCAGATGTACTATTCTAGGGTCTTTTTTTTTCTTCAGCACTTTAAATATGTCATGCCACTCTCTGCTGACCTGTAAGGCTTCCACTGAAAAGTCTTCTGCTAGACATTTTGGATATCCATTGGATGCTATTTGTTTCTTTTCTCTTGCTGCTTTTATGATTTTTCTCTTCATTCCTGATCTCTGGAAGTTTGAGTATTAAATGTCTTGAGGTAGTCTTTGGTTAAATTGGTTTAGTATTCTATAACCTTCTTGTAGTTGGATATCAATATTTTTCTCTAGGTTTTGGAAGTTCTGTGTTCTTCTCTCTTGGAATACACTTTCTACACCTATCTTTTTCTCTACCTCTCCTTCAAGGTCAATAATTCTTAACTTTGCCCTTTTGAGGATATTTTCTAGATTCTGTATGTGTGCTTCATTGTTTTTTTTCTTTTGTCTCCTCTGGCTGTGTATTTTCAAACAGCCTTTCTTCCAGCTTACTGTTTCTTTCTTCTGCTTGATCAATTCTGTTATTAAGGGACTCTGAGGCATTTTTCATTATGCCAATTTCAATTTTCAGCTCCAGAATTTCTGCTTGATTCTCTTTAATTATTTTAATCTTTGTTAAATTCATCTGATAGAATTATGAATTCTTTTGTTATCTTGAATTTCTTTGCATTTCCTCAAAACAGCTATTTTAAATTCTCTTCATAAGTGAAAGAGAAATAAAATCCTTTACAGACAAGCAAATGCTGAGAGAATTTGTCACCACTAAACTTTTGGTTTCATTGATTCTTTGTATTCTTTTCAGTCTCTGTTTCATTTAATTCTGCTCTTATTTGGTTATTTCTCATCTTCTAATTTGGGGTTTGGTTTCTTCTCGCTTTTCTAGTTCTTTGAGGTGTGTCATTAGATTGTTAATTTGTAACCTTTCTAACTTTTTGATGTAGGCATTTAATGCTATAAACTTCCCTTTTAGCACTGCATCTGCTTTATCCCACAGGTTTTGGTATGTTGTGTTTTCATTTTTATATTTTACTCTTTATTTTTACTTTTCTTGTTAATTTCTTGAATGACTCAATGGTCATTCAGGAGCATGTTGTTTAGTTTTCATGTATTTGCATATTTTCCAATGTTTCTCTTGATACTAACTTCTGGTTTTATTCAACTTTGATCTGAGAAGTTACTTTATTTGATTTCATTTTTGTAAAACTTTGTTGACACTTTTTTGTGCCCTAGCTTATAGTCTACCTTGGAGAATGTTCCAAGCATGGGTCTTTATAAAAGGCCAATAACACAATAAAATATAAGCATAAGACATGAAAAGACCACCTACAAAAATAAAATGTAAACATCCCTATAACATGTAAATGTGTTACTTATGAGGAAGAACAAATTAAAATAACAGCAAAATGCAATTTTAAAAAGTACCATTTTAATAAAAATCTTAAGTTTGACAACAGATTCCATTGGTAAGGCTGTGGAAAAGTAGGCACTCTCATACACTGCTGGTGGGCATATAAATTGGCATAACCCCCAAAAAGGGCAATTTGTCACCATACGTTCAAATTGCACATGCCCTTTTTTTTTTGGCCCAGCAAAGCTACTTATATTTGTTCCACAGATATATTCACAGACAAAATAATGACAGGGAACATTTATTAGTTAAAACATTATCAGAAGTGGTCATAAACCACTCAAATAACCACCAATAGCCTACTGGCTTAATATTATGGTACACAAAGTCAGTGGAATGCAATGCAGTTATAAATAAGAATGACAAAACTGTTAACATGAAAAAATTAAAGTGCATAGCAATGTGTACAATATGATAGTTTTATATCATAAATATAATGGACCTAGGGATGTGTATTTATATGTGCCTGTATTTGTAAACCAAACTCTAGAAAGAATATATACAGGAATCTAATTAGTGTGATTCTATTAATGGAGGTTCTGCAGAGAAACAGAAACAATAGGCTGAATATATCATATGTATGTGTGTATTATTTATATACATATAATATATATGATTTATTATATATAATTGATATTTATGACTGCTATATATGATATATGAGATATATATAGAGAGAAACAAAGATATACAGAGAAATTATTATGAGAAATATTTCATATTTCACTCAAAAGTCTTGATTATTTTATTTTCTCCAATGTACAACTACCCTGGCAAAAATTAGTAAGCCATTTGGGGAAGATGGGGAGAAACAGTAACAGTATAAACTTTCAGTGGTGAGAAAACTGAGGAAAAGTGGCAAATAGGAGACAGGACTAAACTACAGCTCCAACTTGGACAATCAGAACAGAGTGTGGGGACTCACATCATGAACTTTTGCTCTAAGAACTACTGCAGGAATATACTAGTAAAGCCAAAAGAATCCACAGACCCTTTGATGGAAGTGGATTGCTCCTGCAGGATGTGGAGACAGCCCAAATACTGTAATTGCCCAAACTGTGAAGGTGGGAAAAAGGGACCATCCATTCCCGAATACACATCCTTACTAAAGAACTTGAATGTCCAAATCATGGGAGAAGGATTTGACCTTACCTAAAGCTGAGACAATTTATAGAGCCGAGTGAAATATAGGGGTAGAGGAAAATCGGCAAAAGCCCTGTGGGATCTCTGGGTCCCCAAGGAAGTCATTTCTTACTTCTCTCACAGAAGTCCTTGGGGAAGGCTGCAAGAAAAACTGGAAAAAGACCACAGGGAGAAGGAAACCTAGAGCTAGACATTGTAACAATTTCAACCAAACACGAAGTTTCCTGGCCAGAACTCGTGGGAAGGCATCAATCCAGTGTGCAGACTCGACAGGCAGGGAGATGCTAAAGCACTGCTTGTTTTCTTAGCTGGGATGCTGGTAACCTGGAGTAAGTTCTCAGCCCTGCTGACCCACTGTCTGGTAACAACTTGGTGCTGTTGCGGGGAGCAGAGTTAAAGTGAGACCAGCCTTTTGGGTTGCATGGGAGTTTGGTGAAGACTGTAACTGCTGGTTTTCTTCCACTTTCTTGACAACCTGCATGACACAGCAGATGCAGCCGTAATCCTCCTGAAAACATAACTCCATTGACCTGGGAAACACAAACCCATCCCCCACAACAGTGGCAGCAAGCCCCACCAAAGAGTCTGAGCACAGACATGCCTAACACTGACCCTATTTGATGGTCCTTCTCTACCCACCCTGATAGATAAAGAAAAAGGTAACTTCCTCTTGGAAGTTCTAGGGACCTACCCGCTGCCTGATCCTCCCCTATACTACCAAAGCTGATGCTCTCTTGAAAGTACCACCTGCTGGCAGTAAACCAACCAGCACAAAACTACTGCACTAAACAACTACAAATAAGGACCCTCAGAGTCCATTTTACTCCCCTGCCACCTCGACCAAAACAAGTGCTGATATCCGTGGCTGAGAGATCTGAAGATGGTTCGCATCACAGAACTCTATGCAGACAGCCCCCAGTACCGGCCCAGAGCCTGGTAGCCCTGCTGGGTGGTTAGATCAAGAAGACAAATACCAATCACTACAATTTGGCTTTCGGGAAGCCACATTCTTAGAAAAAGAAAAAGAATACTACATCAAGGGAGCACCTCATTGGGCAAAAGAATCTGAACAGCAGCTTTGAGCCCCAGATCTTGCCTCTGACATAGCCTACCCAAATGAGAAGGAAACAGAAAAACAGTTCTAGTTATATGACAAAACAAGGTTTTTTAACGCCCCCAAAATATCACACTAGCTCACCACCAATGGATACAAATCAAGAAGAAATCCCTGAATTGCCCGAAAAAGAAATCAGAAGGTTGATTATTAAGTGAATCAAGAAGGCACTAGAAAAAGGTGAAGTCCAACATAAGGAAATAAAAAAAAAGATACAAGATATGAGAAGAGAAATCATCAGTGAAATGGGTAGCTTAAAAGACACACAAAGAAATGCAGAATGTATGGAATCTCTCAGCAATAGAATCGAAGAAGCAGAAGAAAAATCCTCAGAGCTTGAAGATGAGGTTTTTCAAATAATCCAATCCAACAAAGACAAAGAAAAAAAATAAAGGACACACGCAAAAAAATGCAGAATGCATGGAACGTCTCTGCAATAGAATTGAAGAAGAAGAAAGAACCTCAGAGCTAGAAAAGAAGGTTTTTCAAATAATTCAATCAGAAACAAAAAAAAATTAAAAATAAACAAAGCCTTCAAGAAATTTGGAATTATATCAAACAACCAAATAATTGGCATCCCTGAGGAAGAAGAGTAATCCAAAAGCTTGGAAAACATATTTGGGGGAATAATTGAGAAAAGCTTTCTTAGTCTTGCTTGTATTTGGATCTAGACATCCAGACACAAGAAGCTCAAAGAACACCTGGGGAATTCATTGCAAAATATCATCACCTAAGAACATAGTAATCAGGTGATCTGAGGTCAAAATGAAGGAGAGAATATTAAAAGCTGTGAGGCAAAAGCACCAGGTAACCTATAAAGGAAAACCTATAAGATTAACAGCATATTTATCAGCAGAAACCCTACATGCTAGAAGGTATTAGGGCCCTATCTTCAGCCTCATTGTACAAAACAATTATCAGGCAAAAATTTTTTATCTAGCAAAACTAAGCTTCATAAATGACGGAAAGATACAGTCTATTTCAGACAAACAAATGCTGAGAGAACTTGGCACTACCAAGCCAGCACTACAAGAACTGCTAAATGGAGCTCTAAATCTTGAAACAAATACTGAAAATACATCAAAAAAGAACCCTTTAAAGCATGAATCTCACAGGATGTATAAAACATGAATACAATAAAAAATTTTAAAAGCAAGGTATTCAGGCAACAAATAGCATGATGAATGAAACAGTACCTCACATCTCAATACTAACGTTGAATGTAAATGGCCTAAATGCTCCATTTAAAAGATACAGAATTGCAGAATTGACCAACCAAGTGTCTGCTGCCTTAAAGAGACTCACTTAACACATTAAGACTCACACAAACTTAAGGCAAAGGGGTGAAAAAAGACATTCTATACAAATGGACGCCAAAAATGAGCAGGAGTAGCTAATCCTATGTCAGACAAAAGAAACTTTAAAGCAACAGCAGTTAAAACAGAGACATTATATAATGAAAAAAGGTCTTGTCCAATAGGAAAATATTGCAATCTTAATATATAAGCACCTGAGAGGGGAGCGCCCAAATTTATAAAACAATTACTACTAGATGTAAGAAATAAGGTAGACAGCAACACAATAATAGTGGGGGACTTCAATACTTCACTGACAGCACCAGAAAGGTCACCAGGCCAGAAAGTCAACAAAGAAAAAATGGATTTCAACTATACTCTAGAACAAATTGACTAAACAGATATTTACAGAACATTCCACCCCACAACTGCAAAATATACATTTTATTCACTGGTGCATGCCTTTGTCTTTGGCTACAAGTGCAGGTAGAGAAAGACCATCAGGTGGGGGCAGGGTTAGGTATGTCTAAACTCAAACTCTCTTGAGACAGGGCTTGCTGCCACTGCTGTATAGGATGGGGTGTGGTTTTAAGTGGTTTTAAGGCCATTAGAGTTATGTTCCCAGGAGGATTATGGCTGCCTCTGCCGCATCACACAGGTCACCAGGAAAGTGGAGGAAAGCTATTTGATCCAGCAATCCCACTACTGGGTATCTACTCAGAGGAACGAATGTCATTATACAAAAAAAAAATATTGCACATATATGTTTATAGTGGCATAATTCACAATTGGAAAAATAGGGAACCAGTACAAATGCCCATCAATCAACAAATGGATAAAGAAAATGTTAGATATATATATGTTATATACTATATATAATATGTATTATTATATATATAGTAAAATTAGTAAAAAAAAAAGATCAAAGCAGAAATAAATGAAACTAAAATGAAAATAAACAATATCAAAAATCAATCAAGAAAAACTTGTTTTTTTTGAAAGTTAAACAAAATTGACAAAACTTTAGCCAGACAACTAAAAAAGAAAGAAAGAAAATAAAATCAGAAATGAAAAGGCAGACATCACAACTGCTACTGCAAAAATTCGAAGGCTCATTAGTGGCTACTATGAGTAACTATATGCCAGTCAATTAGAAAATCTAGAAGTGAAACATTCCTAGATGCATACAACCTACTAAGATTGACCCAGGAAGAAATAAAAAACCTAAACAGATAAATAAATAACAAGGTAAAAGGCTGTAATAAAAAAAGTCTACCACTAAAGAAAAGCTCAGGGACTCATGGCTTTACTGCTGAATTCCACCAGACATTTAAAGAAAAATTAATACCAATCCTACTTAAAGTATTTCAAAAATTAGAGGAGGAGGGAATACTGCCAATCTCATTCTACAAGACCAGTATTATTCTGACAACAAAACCATCAAAGACATATCAAAAAAAGAAACCTATAGGCCAATATATCTGATGAACATTGATGCAAACATCTTCAGCAAAATACGAGCAAACTGACTTCAACATTTTGAAATGAATAGTTCAAGATTTGCAAATTTATCACTGTGATACAGTGTATCAACAGAATGATGAAAACTATATGATCATTTCAATTCGTGCTGAAAAGGTGCTTGATAAAATTCAACATAATTTCATGAAAAAAAACCCTAAGAAAACTGGGGGTAGAAGAAACATACATCAATATAATAGAAGCCCTATACGACAGACCCACAGCTAGTATCATACTGGATGGAGAAAAAACTGAAAGGCTTTCCTCTAAGATCTGGAACACTACAAAGATTCCCATTTTCAACCATTGTTATTCAACATAGTACTGGAAGTCCTAGCTAGAGCAATGAGACAAGAGAAGGAAAGAAAGAGGATCCTAATTGAAATGGAAGAAGTCAAATTGTCCATTTGCAGATGATATATTTTGAAAAACCTAAAAACTCCACAAAAAACTATTAGAAGTGATAAACAAATTAAGGAAAGTTGCACGATACAAAATCAACATACAAAAATCAGTACCATTTCTGTATACCAACAGTGAGCAATCTGAAAATGAAATAAAAATATAATCACATTTACAACAGCCACACATAAAATCAAACACATAGGAATTAACTTAACCAAAAAAGTGAAAGATCTTTATAATAGAAACTATAAAACACTGATGAAATAAATTGAAGAGGACATCTAAAAATGAAAAATATATATATATTTTATGTTCATGGATTGGAAGAATCAATATTGTTAAAATATCCATACCACTCAAAGCAATAGACAGATTCAATGTAAACCCTATCAAAATACCAAATACATTATTCACAGAAATAGAAGAAAACTACCCTAAAATTTATATGGAATCTCAAAAGACCCAGAATAGACAAAGTTATCTGAAAGAATAAGAACAAAACTAGAGGAATCACATTACCTGACTTCAAATTATACTAGAGATCTATAGTAATCAAAGCAGCATGGAACTGGCATAAAAACAGACACATAGACCAGTGTAACAGAATAGAGAGCCCAGAAACAAACCCATGCACTCACAGTTAACTCACATTTGACAAAGGTACCAGGAACATACACTGGGGAAAATAGTCTCATCAATAAATGGTACTGGAAAAATAGAATATCCATATGTAGAAGAAAGAAACTAGACCTAATGGGATCACATCAAATTAAAAGGCTTCTGCACAACAAAGGAAACAATAAACAAAGTGAAGAGACAACCCACAGAATGAGAAAAAATATTTACAAGCTACCCATCTGACAAGGGATTCATAACTAGAATATATAAGAAGCTAAAACAACTCTATAGGAAAACATCTAATATTCTAATTAACAAATGGGCAAAAGATTTGCATAGACATTTCTCAAAAGAAGACAAAAAATGGCAAACACACATATGAAAAGCTGCTCAATATCATTGATCATCAGAGAAATGCAAATGAAAACTATGATGAGATACCATCTCACCTCGGTTATAATGGCTTGTATCTAAAAGGCAATAACAAATGCTGGTAAGGATGTGGAGAAAAGGGAACCCTTGATCACTCTTGGTGGAAATGTAAATTAGTATAACCACTATAGAGAACAGTGTGTAGGTTCCTCACAAAACTAAAAACAGAGCTACTATATTACCCAGCAATCCCGTTGCTTGGTATATACCCAAATGAAAGAAAATCTGTATATCAAAGTGGTATCTGCACTCCCATGTTTGTTGCTGTACTGTTCACAATAGCCAATATTTGGAAGCAACCTAAGTGTCCATCAGCAGATGAACAGGTAAAAAAAATGTGGTACATACACACAATGGAGAACTATTTAGCCATTAAAAAGAATGAGATCCTATCATTTGCAACAACATGGATGGACCCGGAGATTATTATGTTAAGTGAAAGCCAGAAAAAGAAAGACAGACATTACATGTTATCACTTATTTGTGGGATCTAAAAATCAAAACAATTAAATTTATGAACATAGAGAGTAGGAGGATTGTTACCAGAGTCTGGAAAGTGTAGTGGGAAATTGTGGGAGGTGGGGATGTTTAATGGGCCCAAAAAATGATAAGTAGAAAGAATGAATAAAACCTATTATTAGATAACACAACAGGGTGACTATAGTCAATAGTAATTTAATGGTACATCTTAAAAGAGTGTAATTGAATTGTTTGTAACACAAAGGATAAATGCTTGAGGGGAAAGATACCCCATTCTCCATGATGTGATTTTTATGCATTGCATGTCTGAATTAACACAGCTCATGTACTCCATAAATATATACACCTACTATGTAACCACAAAAATTAAAAATTAAGAATTTTTAAAAATAGAATAGAAGAGGGGTGGTAGGGTTGGAATCTGAGAAGAATCAGCAGTATCTTGCAGGACAACTACCTTAGGTGAGACCATTATAATGTCATTAGTCAATGCAGAGTTAATCTCTTCAGGAGGTGGAAAGGCCAATATCATTGTGAGTGGAGAGGCTGATACTGCTGGATATAGACAGGCCCCTACCACTAAGAGTGAAGATGTTGGGGTTGGGGAGCCTGCTTCTGCTGGGCATAGGGTGATCAACTCTGTTGGAGGAAGAAGCCCATTTTCACTGGAGGTGGAAAGGCCTCTTCCACTGACAAAGAAGACTCATCAGGATCTAGGGGCACAATAGTTCCAGCTATATCAGGGTCTTCCCTCCCATTCTCATCCCACCTTACCAGATCTTTTTTTTTTTTTCCAATCAGTGCCTTCACTTTAACAATAGATATCCTGCAAGGCTGGGAGTTCAACTTGAGTTATAAATCAGCCAGTGTCCAGATTAAGTCTGTACTTGATATTCAGCAATCTAAGCTCTGCAACTCTACAAGATCAGAGTTTTTTTTCAGGGCAGACATAGAAGTTCTTAAGTCATTTGTGTGCCACTTAACGCTTGGAATTCAAACTTTTTAGCTTACCGTTTTCTTGTTTTATCCGGTGACATTAGGAGAGCATCCAACCAATGTCATCATACTCATTGGTTCTCCAAAAATGTTTAAAAGTATCATATCCAAAGTCATGTAGGTCCTTGCTTATTATAATTATTTGATTATGAGTATCAAATGCAGATATTTTGCATGTCTACAAACAGTTCACACCATGGACTATCAATGTGTCTTTACTACTGGAAGCAGAGTCATTAACATCTTTAAATCTACTCAGATTAGAGAACCAATACCGGAAACTCAAGAACCAATTCAGAAAATTTATTTTTGAAATTCCACTCCTCTAGGATGAATTTAGATCTTTAGACTACTCTAGATGTACAATTTTTGAGGCTGAGACGTCCCACAATCTGCTTTTTCTGCGCTAGAGACAAAAGGAAGCCAGTGACATAATTTAGCCTGAGTTGAAAGGTTTGAGAATCGGGGGAATGGATGATGTAAATCTCAGTTCAAGAGCAGGAGAAGATGAGATGAGATGTCCCAGCTCAAGTGGCGAGGCAGGAAAAAAAAAAAAGAGCAAATTTCTTCTTACTCCACCTTTTCTTTTATTTAGGACCTCAACAGATTGGATAATGCCTAACCACATGGAAGCAAGCAATCTACTAAA
Organism: Homo sapiens; assembly: GCF_000001405.40. Taxonomy (NCBI): domain Eukaryota; kingdom Metazoa; phylum Chordata; class Mammalia; order Primates; family Hominidae; genus Homo; species Homo sapiens. Next base: position 83,906,429 of record NC_000023.11, read on the forward strand.
TCACCAATTCAAATGCTAGTATCATCAAAAAACATCCTCCTCGCAGACACATTGATAATCAATGTATAATCTGGGCATTCCGTGGCCCACTCAAGTTGACACATAAAATTAACCATCACAGTGATTATTTGTGGTTGGAAAACTAAGCAGTTAGAGAACAAAAGGGAGATTAAGCCTTTTTACTATTTACCTTTTAATAATTTTAAGGTATCACCTATTCAAAAATGTAAATATACAATCATGTAACACATATAAGTTTTAATTATAAAAAGATAAAAAATCATTATGAAAATAAAGATTTTTAAAATAATATACCCTTTAACATAGTATTTTCAGTTCTAGTAATCAAAGTCAATAATTAGGTGCAGACAAATAGTTGTGCACATATTTATTCACCATGAAATCATCCATAATAAAATATAGAAACACCCTAATTTTTCTAAAAATGAAAGATTGGCTAAATAAATATCTACCATGGATCATGTACAGATAATAAAATAATCACTTGTATCTATACTTAATAGCCTGGAAAGATGTTCATTATGTATCGTCGAATGAAAATATAGGTCAGAAATAGCTGGAACATCATGGGTTTTTAATAATTGTTGTATATATAAAATATGTATGGTATTCCATTTTTTGCATACACAAACCATGCACATATTTGCATTGGGTAAAATTAATAATGACTAACTATGAGTGGTTAAAGTCTTACAGATATTTACTTTCCTGCATTCGTAATATATCTACAATGAACTGGACTATTTATATAAACTCAAAAAAGCAAAAAATGTAAAAAAAACTTATTTCTCATCTCACATATATTTATTTCTTCTCCAAACTACCCTATAAAATCTCCTTTTGGTTTTAAAAATCAGTAATTTTATAACAACAATGATCGCACCAATAACAACTATTTTTATATGTTAAGCAGTGTATTTAGTCCTACACATGCATTATCTCATTGAATCTTTAAAATAACCCTATGAAATGTGTATTCTTGCCTCCTTATATAAGTGAAAATGACTCAGAGAAGTTAAAAACTTGACCAAGTCTAAACCACTGGTAAGTGTCATGTCTGAGTTTTGAATCCAGTTGACCAACTTTAAATCTTCTGAGCCTAAATACTATGCTATTTTTCGCAAAACCATCTGTTGCCTCCTCAAAGTTCTTTTGTTTTGTTTTGTTTTGAGACAGAGTCTCGCTCTATTGCCCAGGCTGGAGTGCAGTGGCGCAATCTCGGCTCACTGCAAGCTCCGCCTCCCGGGTTCACGCCATTCTCCTGGCTCAGCCTCCCGAATAGCTGGGACTACAGCCGCCTGCCACCACGCCCGGCTAATTTTTTTTGTATTTTTAGTAGAGACGGGGTTTCACCGTGTTAGCCAGGATGGTCTCCATCTCCTGACCTCGTGATCCTCCTGCCTTGGCCTCCCAAAGTGCTGGGATTACAGGCGTGAGCCACCACGCCCAGCCTGCCACCTCAAAGTTTTAAGGTTGGGAGTTCGCCATCCCTGAGTCAGCAAAGCACTGCAACAAAAATTGTTTTAATGCATTTATATAACTCCTTATATTCTGACTTTGAAGAAATCTTCAAGCTGACTAAGTAAGTAAAGAATTGTATTATCTAATGCCGAACATATTTTATGTTACTGGCTTGAATACAGTTTAAAGGACAAATAATTTCTTTTGATCTTTTCAGTGGGGGAATATAGGTGGTTTTATGGAGAAAGGAATAGATGTGGCCATTATAATGGTAAAATCTTGGAAATCAAGTTATATATAACTTTAGACAAGTAACTTGTCATTTTTTCCCCATATACCAGATGCTAGTTTTTTTCTCTAAAGTTCCTAAGGCCCTTTATTTATAAAAAAAGAAAAAAAAAAGAATCTTTGATGTGTGAGCTACCAATGCCATTGAATTGAATCCACATCTGTGTGAGTTCCCTTGACTGAGCTTGGCCCTATGCTGTCACCAGCAAATCTAATTTATTCTTTTTTTTTTTTTTTACTATACTTCAAGTTTTATGGTACATGTGCACAACGTGCAGGTTAGTTACATATGTATACATGTGCCATGCTGGTGTGTTGCACCCATTAACTCATCATTTAGCATTAGGTATATCTCCTAATGCTATCCCTGCCCCCTCCCCCTACCCCACAACAGGCCCCGGTGTGTGATGCTCCCCTTCCTGTGTCCATGTGTTCTCATTGTTCAGTTCCCACCTATGAGTGAGAACATGTGGTGTTTAGTTTTTTGTCCTTGTGATAGTTTGCTGAGAATGATGGTTTCCAGCTTCATCCATGTCCCTACAAAGGACATGAACTCATCATGTTTCATGGCTGCATAGTATTCCATGGTGTATATGTGCCACATTTTCTTAATCCAGTCTATCATTGTTGCACATTTGGGTTGGTTCCAAGTCTTTGCTACTGTGGATAGTGCCGCAATAAACATACATGTGCATGTGTCTTTATAACAGCATGATTTATAATCCTTTGGGTATATACCCAGATCCAGGCCTTTGACAAAATTCAACAACCCTTCATGCTTAAAACTCTCAATAAGTTAGGTATTGATGGGACATATCTCAAAATAATAAGAGCTATCTATGACAAACCCACAGCCAATGTCATACTGAATGGACAAAAACTGGAAGCATTCCCTTTGAAAACTGGCACAAGACAGGGATGCCCTCTCTCACCACTCCTATTCAACATAGTGTTGGAAGTTCTGGCCAGGGCAATCAGGCAGGAGAAGGAAATAAAGGGTATTCAATTAGGAAAAGAGGAAGTCAAATTGTCCCTGTTTGCAGATGACATGATTGTATATCTAGAAATCCCCATCGTCTCAGCCCAAAATCTCCTTAAGCTGATAAGCAACTTCAGCAAAGTCTCAGTATACAAAATCAATGTGCAAAAATCACAAGCATCCTTATACACCAATAACAGACAAACAGAGAGCCAAATCATGAGTGAACTCCCATTCACAATTGCTTCAAAGAGAATAAAATGCCTAGGAATCCAACTTACAAGGGACGTGAAGGATCTCTTCACGGAGAACTACAAACCACTGCTCAATGAAATAAAAGAGGATACAAATAAATGGAAGAACATTCCATGCTCATGGTAGGAAGAATCAATATCATGAAAATGGCCATACTGCCCAAGGTAATTTACAGATTCAATGCCATCCCCATCAAGCTACCAATGACTTTCTTCACAGAATTGGAAAAAACTACTTTAAAGTTCATATGGAACCAAAAAAGAGCCCGCATCGCCAAGTCAATCCTAAGCCAAAAGAACAAAGCTGGAGGCATCACGCTACCTGACTTCAAACTATACTACAAGTCTACAGTAACCAAAACAGCATGGTACTGGTACCAAAACAGAGATATAGACCAATGGAACAGAACAGAGCCTTAAGAAATAATGCTGCATATCTACAACCATCTGATCTTTGACAAACCTGACAAAAACAAGAAATGGGGAAAGCATTCCCTATTTAATAAATGGTGCTGGGAAAACTGGCTAGCCATATGTAGAAAGCTGAAACTGGATCCCTTCCTTACACCTTATACAAGAAGTAATTCAAGATGGATTAAAGACTTAAATGTTAGACCTAAAACCATAAAACCATAGAAGAAAACCTAGGCAATACCATTCAGGACATAGGCATGGGCAAGGACTTCATGTCTAAAACACCAAAAGCAATGGCAACAAAAGCCAACATTGACAAATGGGATCTAATTAAACTAAAGAGCTTCTGCTCAGCAAAAGAAACTACCATCAGAGTGAACAGGCAACCTACAAAATGGGAGAAAATTTTCCCAACCTACTCATCTGACAAAGGGCTAATATCCAGAATCTACAATGAACTCAAACAAATTTACAAGGAAAAAACAACCCCATCAAAAAGTGGGAGAAGGATATGAATAGATACTTCTCAAAAGAAGACATTTATGCAGCCAAAAGACACATGAAAAAATGCTCATCATCACTGGCCATCAGAGAAATGCAAATCAAAATCACAACGAGATACCATCTCACACCAGTTAGAATGGCGATCATTAAAAAGTCAGGAAACAACAGGTGCTGGAGAGGATGTGGAGAAATAGGAACACTTTTACACTGTTGGTGGGACTGTAAACTAGTTCAAGCATTGTGGAAGTCAGTGTGGCGATTCCTCAGGGATCTAGAGCTAGAAATACCATTTGACCCAGCCATCCCATTACTGGGTATATACCCAAAGGATTATAAATCATGCTGCTATAAAGACACATGCACACGTATGTTTATTACAGCGCTATTCACAATAGCAAAGACTTGGAACCAAGCCAAATGTCCAACAATGATAGACTGGATTAAGAAAATGTGGCACATATACACCATGGAATACTGTGCAGCCATAAAAAAGGATGAGTTCATGTCCTTTGCAGGGACATGGATGAAGCTGGAAACCATCATTCTCAACAAACTATCGCAAGGACAAAAAAACAAACACCGCGTGTTCTCACTCATAGGTGGGAATTGAACAATGAGAACACATGGACACAGGAAGGGGAACATCACACACCGGGCCTGTTGTGGGGTAGGGGGAGGGGTGAGGGATAGCATTTGGAGATAAACCTAATGTTAAATGAAGAGTTACTGGGTGCAGCAGACCAACATGGCACATATATACATATGTAACTAACCTGCACCTTGTGCACATGTACCCTAAAACTTAAAGTATAATTAAAAAATAAAAACATTTAAAAAATGAAATTTAACTAATACAAAAGTGATTAACTTTAACCATATATTTATTACTTCCAGTGCTCTCATCTTCTGGTGCGGATTAGAATTTCCATATGATATTAGCTGAGGCCAACGTCCTTCTGCTTTAACACGTTTTGTACTCAAAATTTCTTTGTGATACATTCTTTCAGCCCTTGTGTGTTTTTTAAAAGTTTTTATTCTTTCTTCATCTTTAAAAGATACTTTTATGGAGTACAGATTTCTAGAGAGAGTGACATTAACATGATGGTGGATATATTCGGGGCTGTAGGGTGTTGTATTAGCCCATTTTGCGTTGCTATAAAAGAATACCTGAGACTGGGCAATTTATAGACAAAACAGGTTTATTTGGCTCATGGTTCTACAGGCTGTAGAAGAAGCATGGCACTGGCATCTGCTCAGTTTCTGGTGAGAGTCTCAGGAAGCTTTTATTCATGGTGGAAGGCAAATGGAGCTGGCATGTCACATGGCAAGAGAGGAAGCCAGACAGAGTGTAGGTGCTAGGCTCTTTTAAGCAATCAGGTCTCATGTGAATTAATAGAGCAAGAACTCACTGATTGCCATGGGCAGGGCACCAAGTTGTTCATGTGGAATCTGCCCCCATGAACCAAGCAACTTCCATTAGGCCCCACCTCAAACATTTGAGATCTTATTTCAACATGAGATTTGGAGAGACAAATATCCAAACTGTATCAGGTTTTCCAATTATACCCTCCCACAGCAACAATAAAATGGCAATCATCATGCATAAAAGTGCTTTTGTAGGAGCTTTGAGATCCAGGCAAAATATTGCGAAACCCTGGTGGAGTACAAGACCAAAAAGAATTCTTCTTCTAAGAAGGGCCCAGGTCCTGGTGGCAGGCTTGTTGGCCATGGTCCTAGCCACAAATTCAGAAATAGCTCTTTCCACCTGCAGATTCACCTATAGCCTTGTTTGGTCTTGGTTTTGCCACAAGTAACACCCTTGTAGAGACCCAGGAGGCACTGTGTCTTCCCATACCTTAGGTAATAGGCCTGCCAACTTCAGTCTGAGTTGTGAACTCTCAAGCAGCCCATGATCTAGCTTCAGCCTCTCTCAGCAATGGTTAGTCCTGCCCACACCAGGTAGAAGATGCACACCAGGTAGAAGATGCATCTGTTTATGCTCCTACAGGCGGGCTGGTAAATTCCAGTTTAACTGCAGATCCCAAGGAGTCCCTTTAACGAAGCTCTAGCCCCTCCTCATTGTGATCTGGAAGAAGTGCTGCCTACCCAGGAATCTGCCAGGAGAAATGCTTGTTTGTATACCTAGAGGCAGGCACACTGAGCTTAGAAGATTCTGAAGCAACCCTGCTACACAGCTCCAGTGTCACTCAGCCACGGTGAGTGAGTAACCTGGCAGAAGATGAACTCATCCATTCCTCCAAAGTTGGACTTAAAAACCTTGAAATGGGATAACATATTTGCAAATCATATATCTGATAAGGAGTTAATATTGAAAATATATAAGGAATGCAATAGCAAACAACTCAATACCAAAAGGACCACTAATGTGATTAAACAATAAGCAAAGGGACCTAAATAGACTTTTTTTCCAAAGAAGACATACAAATGGCCAGAAAGCGTATGAAAAAATGTTCAACATTACTAATTATCGTAAAATGCAAATCAAAACCATGGTGACCTATCAACTCACAACTGTTAGGATAATTATAATGAAAAAGACAAAAGGTATCAGGTGTTGGCAAGGATATGGAGAAAAGGGGACTCTTGTATACTGTTGGTGGGTATGTAAAATAATGCAGCCACTATGAAAAACAATATAAAGGTTCCTGAAAAAATTCAAATTGTATCTACTATATGATCCAGCAATCCCACTTCTGGGTAGATAACAAAAGAATATAAAATTAATATCTCGAAGAGATAGATACCTGTACTCCCATGTTTATTGCAGCATTATTCACAATAGCCAGGACATGCAACAACTTAATTGTCCATCAACTAATGAATGGAATTAATTAATATATTAAATATTAACAAAATTAAAATGGAATTATTTATATATTAAAATTAATATATAAGTATATATTCATATAACATACATATTACATTAACATAATTATATATGTACACATATATAGGAGATTATGTCATTTGTGACAAAATGGGTGAACTTGAAAGATATTTTGCTAAATAAAATAAGTCAGACAAATAAATACAAATACTGTATGATCTCAACTATATGTAGAATCCCAAAAATCAGTCTTATAGAAGCAGAGTAGAAAGATAATTACCAGGAGCTATATAAGAGTGGAGGAGAAATGGGGAGATGTTGATCAAAGGGTACAAATTTTCAGTTATAAGATGAATAAGTTATGGTGATGTAATTTACAGCATGTTGAGTATAGTTAATACTGTATTGTACACTTGAAATTTTCTTAGAGAATTGATCTTGTGTCTTCACCACACACACACACACACACACACACACACACACACATAAATGGTAACTATGAGGTAGTGGATGTATTTATTGGCTTGACTGTGGTGATCATTTCACAATGTATACGTACACATAACCATCAATTCATACACTTTAAATATATGAAATTTTATCTGTCAATAATACCTCAATGGCCATACTGCCCAAGGTAATTTATAGATTCAGTGCCATCCCCATCAAGCTACCAATGACTTTCTTCACAGAATTGGAAGAAACTACTTTAAAGTTCATATGGAACCAAAAAAGGGTGTTATCTTTTATTTCCTCTCACATGAAAATTACACTCATTTTCTTCCCAGCACATCATAGATGTCTAATTTAATCATGGCATTGGCTAAACTCAGGATCTCTTGATCTGTGTCAGGTGGCTACTCTTTTTTTTTTTTTTTACTTTATACACATTTTTATATGATTATAAACTGTTTCTTTTTCTTAGTTAACATATTCTAATTGTACAATTTTATGGGGTAAAATTTGGCGTTTCAATACATGTATATGTTGTAATATGATCAAATCAGAATTGTTAACACCAGTATCTTATGCATTCATCATTTTTTTGTGGTGAGAACATTCAAAGGACTCTCGTCTGGCTATTATGTCATATAATGTCTTACTGTTAATTATAGTCACCCTCCTGTGCAAAAAAATAAGAAAGTTGATATTATAGAAATGGAGAATGGAATAGGAAACTTTTTAAACAATGCAATTTAAAGGTCAATTTTCAAAAGAAAAAAGCGAGGTAAAACATTTGCAAAATGAATGTAAACATATATTTACAGATTTGCTAAGAGGGTAGATCTTATGTTTAGAGTCTTTACCACACAGTCATGTGCATGAGTGCACCCACGCGCACACACACACACACACACACACAGAGATAGAGAGAAAATAAAAAAAATACAAAAAGCGGTAGGAGATTTTGTTTTCTTTTACATGTTCTGTGCTAAGAATATAATACTTTCACAATAAGAAAATAAAACCAAACAATTTTTTAAAACATTAAACATCATACAAATAATGAAGGAAAGTAAATATTTACTATTAGCAGTTATCAGGCTTTTTTGGTTATTTTGTTTTTAAATTTTTTATTTCCATAGGTTATTGGGAAACAGGTGGTATTTGCTTACATGAATAAGTGCTTTAGTGGTGATTTGTAAGATTTTGGTTCACCCATCACCCGAGCAGTATACACTGCACCCAACTTGTAGTCTTTTACTCCTCACCCCCTTCCAATCCTTTCCCCCTGAGTCCCCAAAGTCCATTATGTCATTCTTATACCTATGCATTCTCATACCTTAGCTCCCACTTATGAGTGAGAACATTGGATATTTGGTTTTTCATTCCTGAGTTACTTGACTTAGAATAATAGTCTCCAATGTCATCCAGGTCGCTGTGAATGCCATTAATTCATTCGTGTTTATGGCTGAGTAGTATTCCATAGTGTATATATATATATTCCACAGTTTCTTCATCCACTCATTGATCAATGGGCACTTGGGTTGGTTCCACATTTTTGCAATTGTGAATCGTGTTGCTATAAACGTGTGTGTGCAAGTATCATTTTGTATAATGACTTCTTTTCCTCTGGGTGGATACCCAGTAGTGGGGTTGCTAGATCAAATGGTAGTTCTACTTTCAGTTCTTTAAGGAATCTCCACACTGTTTTCCATAGTGATTGTACTAGTTTACAGTCCCACTGGCAGTGAAGAAGTGATCCCTGTTCAGCATAGCCACACCAACATCTATTATTTTTTGATTTGTTGATTATGGCCATTCTTGCAAGAGTGAGGTGGTATCGCCTTGTGGTTTTGATTTGCATTTCTCTGATCATTAGTGAGGTTGAGCATTTTTTCATGTTTGTTGGCCATTTGTGTATCTTCTTTAGAGAATTGTCTATTCATATCCTTAGCCCACATTTTGATGGTATTGTTTTTTTCTTTGCTAATTTGTTTGGGTTTGTTGTAGATTCTGGATATTTGTCCTTTGTCAGATGTATAGATTGTGAAGAGTTTCTCTCACTCTGTAGGTTGTCTCTTTACTCTGCTGACTGTTCCTTTTGCTGTGCAAAAGCTTTTTAAATCAGTTAAGTTCCAGCTATTTATCTTTGTTTTAATTGCTTATTTTTCATCTGCATCTCCTCTTTATTGAAGTATCTATTTAATTATTTGATTCATTTATACTGGGTTATTTGTTTTGTCATTATTGAGCTCTGAGAACTTGATTTTCATATTCTGGATGCAGATCCTTTATAATCCATGAGTTTGCAAACACTTTATCTCCATATATGGCTTCTCTTTTTATTCTATCAACAATGTCTTTCAAAGAGAAGTCATTTTTAATTTTGATAATGCCCAATTTGTCATTGTATCTTCTAACAGATAATGCTATTGGTGTCATATATGAAAATCCTTTGCATAATTCAAGATAAGAAAAACTTTTTCTGTTATATTTTAGAAGTTTTATGGTTTAAGTTTACATTTATAACTATGATTTATTTCAAGTTAATTTTTGTATATGCTATAAGGTGACGGTCAAGGTTTATATTTTTCATACAAATATTCCAGAATCACTATTTGTATGTAAAAAAGGTATTCATCTGAGGTTCCTTTGCACCTTTGTCAAAAACAGTTGCCTGATCAGCAAGATGACAGACTAAGTAGCTCCAGGTCTTTATTCCCCCCACAGAGGCACCAGGATAACAACTAAATGTAGACAAGAATACCTTTTTGAGAATTCTAGAAAACAGCTGAAAAGCTAAGGCACACAAGTTGACACAAAACTAACAAGAAATTTTAGTGAAAGGGGTAGAAAACTTTACAACTGGAAGGAAATCTCCCATACTAGGGCCCATCTTTCAGGATGAAAACAAAAGAGTGGACCATGTATCCAATGTTCTGGTTTGTCTAGGGATTACTAGAGTGATTGCTTTTTATTTTGCCTGACACAGTACTGAATAGATTGGAGACCTAGTTTGGGAGTCATTGAAAACAGTTGCGCACCCAGCAGGTTAGGACTGCAGCTCCTCAGGCAAACACCAGAGGGAGCAAGAGATTACACCAGAAGAAGCAAGGGCAGACAGTTCAGGAAATTTGAGTCTGTTAAAATCACATGCACAAGCCCAAAAATGACACATTTTCAGAAAATATTTGAGAGTTCATAGAACCTCTAACAGGCTGATTAGCGAATGTTGTCCCCTGTACAAAGCTATACTTTAAATACTGGGAGAGATGGTGGTTTTCTAATGCCCAAATCTCAACAAAAGATTATAAGGTATACAAAAAAAAAAAAAAAAAACAAAAAACAAAAAACAGGAAAACATGGATCAATGAAAGGAACAAAATAAAACTCAAGAAACCTACCTAAAGAAATGCAGCTCTATGAGCTACCTCACAATAGATGTAAAATAACTGTGTTAAAGATGCTTGACAAGGTAAAAGAAAACATTTTTTTTGAGTTAATATACATTATATGTAGGCTGTATTTTTTTAATTTTATTATTATTATACTTTAAGTTTTAGGGTACATGTGCACAATGTGCAGGTTAGTTACATATGTATACATGTGTCATGCTGGTGTGCTGCACCTATTAACTCGTCATTTAGCATTAGGTATATCTCCTAATGCTATCCCTCCCCCCTCCCCCCACCCCACAACAGTCCCCAGAGTGTGATGTTCCCCTTCCTGTGTCCATGTGTTCTCATTGTTCAATTCCCACCTATGAGTGAGAACATGCGGGGTTTGGTTTTTTGTCCTTGCAATAGTTTACTGAGAATGATGATTTCCAATTTCATCCATGTCCCTACAAAGGACATGAACTCATCAGTTTTTATGGCTGCATAGTATTCCATGGTGTATATGTGCCACATTTTCTTAATCCAGTCTATCATTGTTGGACATTTGGGTTGGTTCCAAGTCTTTGCTATTGTGAATAGAGCCACAATAAACATACGTGTGCATGTGTCTTTATAGCAGCATGATTTATAGTCCTTTGGGTATATACCCAGTAATGGGATGGCTGGGTCAAATGGTATTTCTAGCTCTAGATCCCTGAGGAATCGCCACACTGACTTCCACAATGGTTGAACTAGTTTACAGTCCCACCAACAGTGTAAAAGTGTTCCTATTTCTCCACATCCTCTCCAGCACCTGTTGTTTCCTGACTTTTTAATGATCGCCATTCTAACTGGTGTGAGATGGTATCTCATTGTGGTTTTGATTTGCATTTCTCTGATGGCCAGTGATGGTGAGCATTTTTTCATGTGTTTTTTGGCTGCATAAATGTCTTCTTTTGAGAAGTGTCTGTTCATGTCCTTTGCCCACTTTTTGATGGGGTTGTTTTTTTCTTGTAAATTTGAGTTCATTGTAGATTCTGGATATTAGCCCTTTGTCAGATGAGAGAAATCTAAATAAAATCATATAAAGAATGCAAAAGCCAAAATTACAATAACCGACAAAGAGATGGAAACTATCAGTGCATGGTGGTGGGCTATGAGATAGTCTTTCTTTCCTCAACAAAGATAAACAATGTGGCAACTATTCATGAAGAAAAATAAATCTGAAAGTGCAGAGGACCCACTTAAAAGATTGTTTTAAAGAAACTCAGCAAGTTACAAGAGAACATGTATAAAAAACTTAATAAAATCAGGAAATCAATACAAAAACAAAATGAGAAACTAAACAAAGAGATTACAAATATTAATATTTTTTAAAAAGCAGAAATTTGGGGGCTGAAGGAGAAAATGGCTGAATTAAAATTGCAATAGACAGCTTTAACAGAAGACTAGATTTAGCAGAAGAAATAATAAACAAACTCAAGGAAATGTCATTTGAAATCATTTAGTCAGAGGATAAAATAAAAAGAATTGAAGAAAATCTACAGGGTTTATGGCACACCATCAAGAGAGCAAACATTCCAATAATAATATGTTTTTCCCCTTGATATCCATGTGAAATTGGCTTCAGAATGCCTCAGAGATACTGAATCCTATGGATGCTTAAGTCTCTTATATAAGATATTATAGTATTTGCCTATAACCTGAGCACATTGTCCCATATACTTTAAATCATCTTTAGAATACTTACAATACCTAACACTATGTAAATGTCATACAAACACTTGCTGTACTGTATTTTTTTATTTTTTATTGATGTATTGTTATTTTTCCTTTTTTTAAATATTTTTTGTCCATGATTGGTTGAATATGTTGATGTAGCACCTGCAAATATAGAGAGCTAACTGTATTTACATGAGGAGAAGAGAGATAATTTGTACCAGAAAGCTTATTTAAAGGAATAATAGCTGAAAACTTCCCAAATCTGGGACATGATGTAAATATCTAGGTATAGGAAGCTCAGAATTCTCCAATAAAATTTAACCCAAAGAAGAGTTCACTAAGACATATTATAATGAAGCTATCAAAATCCAGAGACAGATAAGAATTCTGAAAGCACCAAGAGAATATAAGCATATCAAATATTAAGGGAGCACCAATATGACTATTGGAGGATTTCTCTGCAGAAACCTTGTAGGCCAAGAAATTGTAAGAATGTGCTAAAAGCAAAACAAGACTGTAAACCAAGAATACTTTGAACGGCAAAGCTGTTTTACAGAAATGAGGGAGAAATAAAGAATTTTTCAGACAAAAACAAAACAAAACAAAACAAAAAAACAGCTAAAGGATTTTATCACCACCAGTCCTGCCTTATAGGAAATGACAAAAGAAGCTATTTTTCTGCAAGAAAATAATTACTAATTAGTTCCATGAAAACAGGAAAGTTTGTTCTCAGATGCATAATTTGCAAATATTCTCTTTCATTCTGTAGGTTGACTCTTTATTTGGTTGATTATTTATTTCGCTGTGCAGAAGCTTTTCAGTTTAATGAAGTCTCATTTCTCTACTTTTGTTTTCATTGCATTTGCTTTTGAGATCTCAGCCATAAATTCTTGTCCTAGGCCAGTGTTGGGAAGAGTTTTTTCTAGGTTTTCTTCAAGAAATTTTAGTTTCAGATCTTACATTTAAGTCATTATTCCATTTTGAGTTTAATTTTGTATATGATGAGAGATAGAGATCCACTTTTATTCTTTTGCCTATGACTATCCAACTTTTCAAACACCATATATTAAATAGGGTATCCTTTCTCCATTGTTTTTGCCTACTTTGTCAAAGATACGTTAAGGGAAGGTGTGAGGCATTATTTCTGAGGTCTCTATTCTGTTCCAGTGATCTATGTATCTATTTTTATATCAGTAGCATGCAGGGTTTTTTTGGTGGTGTGGTGGTGTTGCTTTTTTTTTTTTTTTTTTTTTTTTTTTTTGGAGACAGAGTCTCACTCTGTCGCCCAGGCTGGAGTGCAGTGGCATGATCTCAGCTCACTGCAAGCTCTGCCTCCCGGGTTCACACCATTCTCCTGCCTCAGCCTCCGAGTAGCTAGGACTACAGGCGCCTGCCCCCACGCCCGGGTAATTTTTTTGTATTTTTAGTAGAGACGGGGTTTCACCATGTTAACCAGGATGGTCTCAATCTCCTGACCTCGTGATCCGCCCGCCTCGGCCTCCCAAAGTGCTGGGATAACAGGTGTGAGCCACCGCACCCAGCCGCATGCTGTTTTGATTACTATACGCTTGTGATATAATTTGAAGTCAAATAATGTGATGCCTCTGGCTTTGTTCTTTTTGCTTAATACTGATTCGGCTATATCAGCTCTTTTTTGGTTCCCTATAAATTTGAGAATAATTCTTTTCTGATTTTGTAAAAAATGACACTGGTATTTTGATAGCAATTGCATTGAATCTGTACATTACTTTCGGCAGCTTGGTCATTTTAACCATATTGATTCTTCTAATCCATGAGCATGAGATGTTTTCCTCTCTGTTTATATGATGTATTATTTCTTTGTTTGGTTTTTTATAGTTTTTCTTTTAGAGATGTTTTACCTCTTACATTAATTGTACTGTGAGGTGTTTTCGATTTTTTGCAGCTGTTGTAAATGGGACTGATTCCTTGATTTGAATCTCAGCCTGGTAGTTATTGGTGTATAGAAATGCTACTAATTTTGTATGTTGATTTTGTATCTGAGACTTTACTTAATTCATTTATCAAATTCAGGAGTCTTGTGAGGATTCTTTAGAGTTTTCTAAGATCATATCAGCCAAAACAAATCTTTCATTTTCTTTCCATTTAGATGCATTTTTTTTTTCTTTCTCTTGTCAAATAGTTCTGGCTAGGACTTCCAGTACTATGTTGCATAGGAGTGGTGAAAGTGGATAGCCTTTTCTTGTTCCAATTCTTAGTGGAAATGCTTTCAACTATTCTCCATTCAGTATAATGTTGGCTGTGAGTTTTCATATATTGATTTTATTCTTATCAGGTATGTTCATTCTATGCTGACTTGTTTTGGGTATTTATTATGAAAGAATGTTAAATTATATCTGATGCTTTTCTGCATCAATTGAGATGACCACACATTTTTTTTTCAGTGCTGTTTATGTGGTAAATTATTTATTGACTTATGAATGTTGAACCATCCTCACATGCCTGGAATAAAATCCATGAGATCATGGTATTTTATGTTTTCAACAGGTTTTTGGATTTGGTTTGCTAGACCTTGTTGATAATTTTTGCAACTATCCTCATCAGGGATATTGATCTTTAATTTTCTTTTTAGTTGTGTCCTTTACTGGTTTTGGTACCAAGGTGATATTGGCTTCATATAATGAGTGAGGGATGATGTCCTCCTCCTCAATTTTTTGGAAAAGTTTCAGTAGGATTGGTACAAGTTCTTTGCATGTCTGGAAGAATTCATATATTCCCAAGTACATGAAAACATGTGAATACATGTACTCATGAGTAGTGGGATTGAATCAGTAATAAAAAATCTCCCAACAAAGAAAAGCCTGGGAGTATGTTGTTGGGTGATTTTTTATTACTTATTAAATCTCACTAGTCACTATTCATTATTGGCCTTTTCAGCGTTTCTATGTATTCCTAATTTAATCTTAGCAGGTTGTATGTTTTCAGGAATTTATTCGTTTTCTTTGTTTTCTTGTTTGTGAGTGCAGAGAATTTCATAGTAGTCTCTAATGATCTTTTGTATTTCTGTGTAATCAGTTGTCATGTCTCCTTTTTATGTTTATTTGTATATTCTCTCTTCTGTATTTTCATTAGTCTAGTGTTTTATCAATTTTGTATTTTTTAATGAAGCGAATTTTTGTCTATTTATATTATGTATTGTATTTTTATATCAATTTTTCTTTATTTCATTTCTGCTGTTTGTGATTTCTTTTCTTTTACTAGCTTTGGGTTTGGTTTGATTTTCTTTTTCCAGTTCTTTGGAGTGCAATGTTAGAGTTATAATTTCTGGTTTTTCTCTCCTTTTAATGTAGGAATTTAATGCTATAAACTCTCCCTGTTAGCACTGTTTTTGGTGTATTTCAGAGGTTTTGGTATGTTGTGTCTATTTTTATGCTTTTCAAAACACTTTTTAATTTCCATCTTAATTTCATATGGACACAAAGATCATTCATGGTAAGGTTTACTGTCATGTATTTTATAGTTTTAAGACTTTCTCTTGGTATTTACTTCTAGTTTTATTCCACCATAGTGCAAGAAGACACTCGATGTGATTTTGATTTTTCAGAATTTATTGTCACTATTTTTTGGGAGTATCATATGGTCTATTTTGCAAAATGTTCCATGCACTAATGAGAATTATATTCTGCATTTGTTTAATAGGATGTTCTGTAAATTTGTTAGATTAAATTAAGTTAAATTAAATTGATCTGGAGTCCAATTTAATCTAGTATTTCTTTGTTGATATTCTGCCTCTGTTTTTCTAGTGTGTCAGTGGGCTGTTGAAGTCCCCCACTATTAGTGTATTGATGTCTATATCTTTTCCTAGGTCCACTAGTACTTCTATGAATCTGAGTGCTCCAGTGTTGGGTACACGTATATTTAGGATTTTTATATTTTCTTGTTGAATGGATTAATTTATCATTATATAATAACCTTGTCTTTTTTTACTGTTGTTGATATAAAGTCTGTTTTATCAGATGAAAGTGTAGCTACTCCTGCTCTCTTTTGTATTGTTATGTTTTTCACCACTTTACCACGCATCTATGAACATCTTTACCAGTTAGATGTATTTTTTTTTTGTAAAGAGAATATGGTTGAATCCTATTTTTTAGTCCATTCTGTTAGTTTATATCTTTTAAGTTGGGTATTGATTTAATTTGTGTTCTAAGTTCACATTGACATGTAAGGTTTGGTTCCTGTCATGATGTTAACTGTTACCTAGTTACTTTGTAGCCTTAATTGTATAATTGTTTTATAAGATCTGTGAGTTTTATACTTTTATGTGTTTTGATGATGGTTAATATAGACTTTTCAGTTCCATGTTTAGAAGTCCCTTGAGCACTTCTTGTAGGACCAGTGTAGTGCTTTTAAATTCCCTTAGCATTTGTATGTCTGGAAAATATTTCATTTTATTTTATTTTTTCATTTGTAAGGTTATAGTAGGATACAAAATTCATGGTTGGCTTTTTACAAAGTCTAAAAAGATACCTCAATCTTTTCTGGATTGTAAGTTTTCTGATGCAAAATGTGCTGTTAATCTAGTGGGATTTCCTTTATTTGTAATTAGACAATTTTCTCTTGCAGTAAGTCCATCTTGCAATGTATCTTACTCAAGTTCTCTGAGGTTCTTGATTTTTTTCCCTTCATTTTTGTTTCAGTTAATTTGAAAAACCTGTCTTCAAGTGCGCCAAGATTCTTTCACTTGATCTGTTGTTAAGACTTGCACCTGTATTTTGTAATTCCTTTAATCTTTTTTATTTCCAGAAGTGTTATTTTTTAAATAAATATCTATCTCAGTAAATTTTCCATTTAAATTCTGATTTTTTTATTTGTTTGTGTTGGTTTGGGGCTTCTTAATATTCAATGTCTCAAATTCTTTATTTGGTATTTCAAAGATTTTATTATGGCTAGAATCCATTGTTACAGACAGTGTGATTCTTTGTCAGTGTTTTAACACTGGTTTCTGTACTTCCAGAATGGCTTAACTTATTTATCCTCACCTTGATCAACTATCTCTTCTTATTATTGTTGAATTTACTTGCATTTGGTCTTGTTTTTTTCTCCTTGAGAATGTGACTCTAACATACTTTGCACAGGGTCATCCGGCTCTGGTTCTGGGTCTTTTCAGAGGCAAAAACTCTCTCTGAGTTTCTTGATTAAAGATAGCATATATTTGGTGGCTTTCTCAATAGCTGCTTTTAGTAGCAATACACCAAGTATAGGAGCAGCCCCACAGTCTCCTGCAAGGCCAGGATGGTTAGAAGTCTCAGGAAGCTTATCTCATTCCCCAGTACTGTGTATTTGTGTCAGCAGATTTTTTGTTGGGATATGTAGTTCAACCTCCAGGCCAGTAGGTAGGGGTTACAGGTAAGACCCAGTTGTGGCAGAAGCAAATGTGTATGTGCTTGATCTTTGTTTACCAGTAGAAGCTCTCTGTTGCTTTATGCTATAGGCTGATTTGTGAAATGCAAAGTGGTGTGAGCTCCCTGCTCACCTCCTGAGGGGCACATAAATCTGGGTGGAGTTGCACTGCCAAGTCCGCCCTTGGATACCTAAATTGTAAGCAAAAGCACCTGCTGTTATGGGGGTAGTGCAAGGATCTCCTGGTGAAATGCACCTAGGTCTCCACAGCTGATGGAGGCAGCTGCAACAGCACCACTCCTTGGGCAGGCTGGAAAGCAATATGCTTCCCTATTATGCCCCGTCCCAGCATTCAGGACACTCAGATTGGACAGACACCATTGTCTATCTCCAGGCTGCAGTGTATCCAAGAGCCATGAAAGATGCCTGCTCCACAGCTCATCAACATAATGTCTTTGACATGGAACATCCTTCCTCAGCCTAAAACAAACAGCTTTGTGGCTCTTCTGTTCTCCACTGCAGGAACATTGCTGCTCAAAAAAGAGAGGGATAGAGCTACACTTTTCATGCAAGATCTGGCCTAGTGGATACACTGCCAATGTGGACACAGCTGCCCCTAATAGCCTTATTATAGCCATCCTCTGTTCTGTCTATGCCAACCTCCTGCAGAAGCAACCACAGCTGTGTCTGTGGCAGTGTTGGGGGAGGTGAAGTCCCTCTTTCTATGTATGTCCATGCCTGAGCACTGAGGCCACCTGGCTGCTGAGATGAAACCATGCTCCTCTCTTGTGAAGCAGAGTATAGTTCCCAGGTCTCTGCTGAGAGTGGTGCAATCACTCTCAATCAGCTAGAGGGGTACTCTTGGGCACAGCAATCTATATGCTCTGATCTCCTTTTTCCTAGAGGGTGCCCACTTGGTGAACTGCACTATTCATTCCCGTAGGATCAGCACTCCCCAAGGGCTAGACTACTGAGTACCTTGAAGCTCCTCTGGGTCCAGCCAACCACTGGGGTTGCTGCAACCCAAGAAAGTCTTGAGGAATGTCTGCAGGGGCTGCGATGATGTGAAAACACAAGGACTGATGTTCCCCAGGCAGGACACTGTCCCACAATAGGTGCACCACAAGTATGGCACCAACCACTGCAGCTCAGGTCTGCTGGGAGAATGAATGATTGTTTTGTAATCTGGTAGTCCTGTGTAATGCCCTCAGGAAGTTCCCAAATTACCATAGACACCAGTGCCCAAATTTGGGAGGGCAGAGGAGCTCTGTTACAGTCCAGATACTGGTGGTCTGCTGCAGGTGTAAAGGGAGCAAAAAACACACTCACCTACCCTTTCGACAAAATACCAAGTCCCTTGAGGCTACTAGCTGATTTCTGCCAATCTCTGTTTTCTTCTTTTTCTGTACCCTGGCTTCTTCTCATGTGTTTTTCACACCTTTCCCTTGATATTCTATTCAAGGTGTAATTATTCACCTGCAACTTTGTGGTTCTTTCTGAGAACTGGCATTTGGCATCTCTAGGCAGCCATCTTGAAACAAAGGATTAAGACATATATTTATCATGAGGAATTGTGTCATGTAATTATCAAGGATGAAAAGTCCCTCAGTCTAGCATCTGCAAGCTAGATACACAGGAATGTTCACAATGTAATTTAGTCTGGATCCAAATGCCTGAAAACCAGGGGAATTGATAGTGTAAACCCTATCCTGAGTGCAGAAGATAAGATATTCCAGTTCAGTTAGGCAGAAAATAAGGGAGGTAAATTCTTTCTTACTTTTGCCTTTTGTTCTATTCAGGCCCTCAACAGATGAGATGATGCCAACCCACATGAGAAAAGCAAACTGCTTTACTGAGTTCATCAACTCAAATGCTAACCTTGTTCAGAAATAACCTCACAGACACAAACAGAAACAATGTTTAGTCTGGGCACACCAAGGTCCCCTCAAATTGACACATAAAATTAATCACATACATAAAGCATCCTATTGTATGATTATATTTACATAAAAATTTAGAATTGGAAAATTCATAGAGACAGAAAGTAGACTGTCATCGCCACAGTAGAAGGTAGAAAGTATTGGGGATTAATGTTAATGAGTAAAGATTTTTTGAGAGGGAGATTCAAACATTCTAGAATTATATAGGGTTAATGCTCACAAACTCTGTGAATAGACCAAATTATCACTGAGCTTTATACTTTTTTTTTTCCTGTTTCCACTTTTTTTATATTTTCAGTTTACTTTTAAGTTCTGGGAGGCATGTGCAGAACGTGCAGATTTGTTACATAGGTAGACATGTGCCATGGTGGTTTGCTGCACCTATCAACCTGTCATCTAGGTTTTTAGTCCCGCATGCATCAGGTATTTGTCCTAATGCTCTCCCTCCCCTTTCCCTCAACCCCCTAACAGGCCCTGGTGTGTGATGATCCCCTCCCTGTGTCCATGTGTTCTCATTGTTCAACTCCCACTTGTGAGTGAGAACATGCAGTGTTTAGTTTTCTGTTCCTACATTACTTTGCAGAGAATGATGGTTTCCGGCTTCATCCATGTCCATGCAAAGGACATAAACTCATTATTTTTTATGGCTGCATAGTATTCCATGGTGTATATGTGCCACATTTTCTTTATCCAGTCTATCATTGATGGGAAGTTAGGTTGGTTCCAGTCTTTGCTATTGTAAATAGTGCTGCAATAAACATACATGTGCATATGTCTTTATAGTAGAATGATTTATAATCTTTTGGGTACATACTCAGCAACGGGATTGCTGGATCAAATGGAATTTCTGGTTCTAGATCCTTGAGGAATTGCCATACTGTCTTCCACGATGGGTGAACTAATTTACACTCCCACCAACACTATAAAAGCATTTATATTTCTCCACAGCCTCACCAGCATGTGTTATTTCCAGACTTTTTAATAATCACCATTCTAACTGACATGAGATGGTATCTCATTGTGGTTTTGATTTGAATTTCTCTAATGACCTGTGATGATGAGCTTTTCTTCATATGTTTTTTGGCCACATAAATGTCTTCTCTCATGAAGTGTCTTTTCATATTTTTCGCCCACTTTTTGAGGAAGTTGTTTTTTTTTCCCTGTAAATTTTAAATTTGTCTAAGCTCCTTGTAGATTCTGGATATTAGACATTTGTCAGATGGGTAGGTTGCAAAAGTTTTCTCCCATTCTGTAGGTTGCCTGTTCACTCTGATGGTAGTTTCTTTTGCTGTGCTCTTTAGTTTCATTAGATCCCATTTGTCAATTTTGGCTTTTGTTGCAGTTACTTTTGTTTTTTTAGTCATGAAGTCTTTGCCTATGCCTGTGTCCTGAATTGTATTCTCTAGGTTTTCTTCTAGGGTTTTTATTGTTTTGGGTTTTACATTTAAGTCTTTAATCCACCTTGAGTTAATTTTTGTTTAAGGTGTGAGGAAGGGGTCCAAATTCAGTTTTCTGCATATGGCTAGCCAGTTTTCCCAACACCATTTATTAAATAGGAAACCCTTTCCCCATTGCTTTTTTTGTCAGGTTTGTCTTAGATCAGATTGTTGTAGATATGTGGTGTTATTTCTGAGGTCTCTGTGATGTTCCATTGGTCTATATATCTGTTTCGGTAGCAGTACCATGCTGTTTTGGTTACTGTAGTGTTGTAGTATAGTTTGAAGTCAGGTAGCATGATGCCCCCAGCTTTGTTCTTTTTGCTTAGGATTGTCTTGGCTATATGCGCTTTTTTGGGTTTCATATGAAATGTAAAGTAGTTTTTTCTAATACTGTGAAGAAAGTCAATGGTAGATTGATGGGAATAGCATTAAATCTATAAATTACTTTGGGCAGTATGGCCATTTTCATGATACTGATTCTTCCTATCCACGAGCATAGAATTTTTTTCTATTTGTTTGTATCCTCTCTCATTTCCTTGAGCAGTGGTTTGTAGTTCTCCTTGAAGAGGTCCTTCTCGTCCCTTGTAAGTTGTATTCCTAGGTATTATATTCTCTTTGTAGCAATTGTGAATGGGAGTTCACTCATAATTTGGCTCTCTGCTTGTCTATTGTTGGTGTATAGAAATGCTTGTGATTTTTGCACATTGATTTTGTATCCTGAGACTTTGCTGAAGTTGCTTATCAGCTTAAGGAGTTTTTGGGCTAAGACAATGGAGTTTTCTAAATACACAATCATGTCCTCTGCAAACAGAGCAATTTGACTTCCTCTCTTCCTATTTTAATACCCTTTATTTCTTTTTCTTGCCTGATTGCCCTGATGAGAACTTTTAACACTGTGGTGAATAGGAGTGGTGAGAGAGAGTATCCTTGTGTTGTGCCAGTTTTCCAAGGGAAAGCTTCCAGCTTTTGCCCATTCAGTATGATACTGGCTAGGGGTTTGTCATACATAGCTCTTATTATTTTGAGATATGTTTCATTAATACCTAGTTTATTGAGAGTTTTTAGCATGAAGGGATGTTAAACTTTATAGAAGGCCTTTTCTGTATCTACTGAGATAATCATGTGGTTTTTGTCATTGGTTCTGGTTATGTGATGGATTACATTTATTGATTTGCATAAATTGACCAGTCTTGCATCCCAGGGATGAAGCCGACTTTATCGTGTTGAATAAGCTTTTTGATGTGCTTCTGGAGTCGAATCCCTGAATAGACCAATAACAAGTTCTGAAAGTGAGGCAGTAATTAATAGCCTACCAACCAAAAAAAAATCCCAGGAGCAGACGGATTCACAGCCAAATTCTACCAGAGGTACAAAGAAGAGCTATTCCCATTCCTTCTGAAACTATTGCAAACAAAAGAAAAAGAGGAACTCCACCCTAATTCATTTTATGAGACCAGCATCATCCTGATACCAAAACCTGGCAGAGACACAAAAATTAAAGAAAATTTCAGGTCAATATTCCTGATGAACATTGATGAGTTTTAGACGTTTAAAATGTGATTTTTATGGCATGTGAATTATATCACTTTTTTTTTTTTGAATAGGCAAGTCCAGCTCCTGACAGAATTCTATGGAAATGACCTTCTGAAGAAGGGCCCCCAAGAAGAATAAAGTTGCTGTTTCATTAGGCCTACCTGTGTATCTAACAGGATGGGCCAATTTGGTAACTAGGTCTGCTCCCTATAAACTTACCTAATCATCCATAATCTATCTTGAATACTCCCAGATTTTACTGATTATAGTCAGAAAATATGTTGGTTACATTGGAACTGAAGTTTTATCTAACTTCAGATCTCAGATTTCACTGACCAGTAATCCACATTAAAAAGTGGCTTCTCCTGCAATATGACTTTTCTACCCATCTATTTATTCCTTTGTAAAATATTTATGGTGTATTTATCACTTTCTGCGGATACAATGAAAGAAAAAATCTGATCTCTGTGCTTTTGGAGTTTATAGCCATAAATGCTAAATGTAGTCATTGTATGTCATTTTCTGACAGATCTTGGAATTATGACTTGGCAGGAGAACGGTGCCTATTTCTGGCAGAGTAAAAGGATAGCTGTAATTGGTATACCCTTTTCACTTAGATGGGTTTATTTAAAATGCTCCCAAAAGAATTTATGAATCATGAAGTGAAATCAAAAATTTATGGATTTGAAATTTTGTTTAGAAGACAGGATTGAGGAAATATTTATTGACAGAATGTCGTGATTAAGCAAAGGGAGATACAAAGATGATATCTAGATTTTTGTTTGATCAAGAACATAAATGGTGATGTCACTCCTCTGTTGATCTTAACTTCATGATGTCTCTGATATACATTCTATCCTCTCTATTCTTACCATCACTGCCCTAGTATAGGTCTTCAGCTTCCCCTTCATAAACTATTACAACAGTTTCCTGCATCCAGTATTGATTTCCTCTAATTCATATGCTATACTGCTGCCAAAGCTATCTTTATAAAACAGAAACTAAACTACGTCACTCTTTTTTCAGAAAAATTTCAATGCTCCTGTATTAGTTTGTTTTCACGCTGCTATAAATATACTACCTGAGACTGGGTAATTTATAAACAAAAGAGGTTGAATTGTCTCACAGTTCCACATGGCTGTGGAGACCTCAGGGAGCTTTCAATCATGGGGGAAGGTGAAGGGGAGGCAAGCACCTTCTTCACAAGGTGGCAGGAGAGAGAGTGATAGTGCAGAGGAAACTGCCACTTTTAAACCATCAGATCTTGTGAGAACTCACTCATTTTCATAAGAACAGCGTGGGGAAAACTTCCCCCATGATCCTATCACCTCCCTCCCTGGACACATGGGCATTACAGGTCCCTCCCTAAACACTTGAGGATTACAATTGAAAATGAGATTTGGGTGGGGACACAGAAACAAACCATATCAGCTCCTATAATAACGTCCAATGGTAACAAGAAAACATAATAGCCTGTCTAGAGCTACTGGGTTGCTGAGAAGACAGACCTACCATTTTCCTCAACTGGACAAAAAATGTACTTTCTCAAGACACTTGGCAAATGGAAATAAACATGATTGTCTATAAAGAATTGCAGCTGCACTTACACGAATAGTTTTTGTTTATTTACTCCCAAACTTCTCATAAATAGCATAGAAGAATAAGGCAAGGTATACTTCTAGGTAATGGTGATGAGTTTCACCATTATTTATGCTAATTGAGCAGAAATGCATACATCCATTTATGATACGTTCTCCTTTCTCCTCTGCTTTTCACAGAGACTCTTACAATTATTGGTTCACCAGAGTGACTAACTTCCTTTTTCATAATACGCTATGGCTATCATGACCAAGATATTAGCCAAGTAAGAGAATAAATATTAAGATTCTAACGTAGCTGATTGGATCAGGGCCTCACCTACCTAGGGAAGTCCAGAGTGGGAAGAGCAAGAGGAATGAGAAAGCTAACACAATTTAGGGAAACTAGAGTCAAACACTGAAGAGACTGATATGGTTTGGATTTGTGTCCCTGCTCAAATCTCATGTGGAATTGTAATCCTCGATGTTGGAGAAGGGGCCTGGTGGAAATGTGACTGGATCATGGAGGCAGATTTTCTCCTTGCTGTTCTTGTGATAGTGAGTGAGTTCTCATGAGATGTGGTTGTCTAAAAGTGCATGGCACTTCACCCTGTTCTCTGTTTTCCTCCTGCTCTGGCCATATAGGATGTGCCAGCTTCCCCTTTGCCTTCCACTATGATTGAAAGTTTCCTGAGGCCTTCCCAGCCATGCTACCTGTACAGCCTGTGGAACCATGAGCCAATTAAGCCTCTTTTATTTATAAATTACCCAGTCTCAGGTATTTTTATAGCATTGTGAGAATGGACTAATATAAAGACCAAAAGCAAAAGACAGTAGTAAATAATTTTAAAGATGGGATTAATGCTGGGATGAGGACCTGCAAATTTAGTAAGCTAGGTATATGTATTTTTTTCTCATTATGTTTTCAGTGATACACTATTTAGCTATAATTAAGACACAAATAATATTTCACTTTATAAATAAAGCTGTAATTTGCAAAAGTATATATTCTATATACAAACAGATATACTGCATATAGGCACATAATAGTGTATGTGATTTTAAACTTTTAAAGAGCAAATCTACATGTATAGTTTTATTACTCAGGCTACACGCCAAGTATTAATAGTGAATATGTCTGGAGAATAAGATTTGAGAAAAGAAGGTTTACATTTTCTCTTTTATACATTGTCTGTTTCTATTTGCCATAAATATACGCTATTATTTTATTTAACTTTTAAATTCAGGGGTACATGTGCAGGTTCGTTAGATAGGTAAACTTGTGTCATGGGGGATTGTTGTACAGATTATTTTGTCACTGATGTATTAAGCCTGGTTCCCATTAGTTATTTTTCCTAATCTTCCCGCTTCTCCCACCCTCCACCCTCTGATAGGCCCCAGTGTGTTGTTTCCCTCTATGTGTCCATGTGTTCTCATTATCTAGCTCCCACTTATAAGTGAGAACATGCAGTATTTGGTGTTCTCTTCCTTTGTTAGTTAGCTAAGAATAATGGCCTCCAGCTCCATCCATGTTCCTGCAAATAATATAATCTCCTTTTATATGGCTGTATAGTAATCCATGGTGTATATGTACCACATTTTCTTTATCCAGTTTATCATTAATGCATATTTAGGTTGATTCCATGTCTTTGCTGTTGTGAATACTGTTGCAATGAGCATACACATGCATGTGTTTCTATAATAGAACAATTTATATTCTTTTGGGTATATACCCAGTAATGGGATTACTGGGTCGAATGATATTTCTCTTTTTAGGTCTTTGAGGAACTGCCACACTGTCTTTCACAATGGGTGAACTAATTTACACTTCCACAAACAGTGTATAAGTGTCCCTTTTTCTCTACAACATCACCAGCATCTGTTATTTTTGGCTTTTTATTAATAGCCATTAGTGTGAGATGGATCATCTCAAAAGCTTCTCAAACTGATGAACAACCTCAGCAAAGTCTCAGAATCCAAAATCAATGTGCAAAAGTTACTGATATTCCTATGCAACAACAGTTAAGCTGAAAGCCAAATCAGAAAGGCAATCCCTTTCACAATTTCCACAAAAAAAAAAAACAAAATACTTAGGAATACAGCTAACCGGGATTTGAAAGATACTTACAAGAAGAACTACAAAATACTGCTCAAATAAATCAGAGATGACAAAAACAAATGGAAAAACATTACATACTCATGGATAAGAAGAATCAATATTGTTAAAATTGCCATACTGCTCAAAGTGTTTTAATAGATTCAATGCTATTCCCATTAAACCACCATTGACACTATTCACAGAACTAGAAGAAGCTATTTTAAAATTCATATGAAACCAAAAAAGAGTCCGAATATCCTAAGCAATCCTAAGCAAAAAGTACCAAGCTGGAGGCATCACGGTACCTAACTTCAAACTATACTGCAGGGCTACAGTAACGAAAATAGCATGGTACTGGCACAAAAGCAGACACCTAGACCAATGGAACAAAACAGAGAACCCAGAAATAAAGCCACGCAGCTATAACTATATGATCTTTGACAAACCTGACAAAAGCAAACAATGGGGAATATATTCCCTATTCAATAAATGGTGCTGGGATAACTGGCTAGCCATATACAGAAGATAGAACTGGAGACCTTCCTTACACCATATACAAAAATTAACTCAAGATAGATTAAATACATAAATATGAAATCCAAATTTATGAAAACTCTGGATGACAACCGAGGCAATATCATTCTAGACATAGAAATAAGCAAAGATTTCATGATGAAGATGCCAAAAGCAATTACAAGAAAAGCAACAATTGACAAATGGAATATAATAAAACTAAAGAGCTTCTGCATAGCAAAGGAAACTGTCAACAGAGTGACCAAGCAACCTATAGAATCAGATAAAATTTTTGCAAACTATTCATCTGGCAAAGGTCTCATATCCAGCATCTATAAGGAACATAAGCAAGTTTACAAGAAAAAAAAATAACCATAAAAAAGTGGGCAAAGGACATAAACAGACACATTTCAGAAGAAGACACACATGCAGCCAACAATCATATAAGAGAAAGCTCAACATCATCGATCATTAGAAAAATGCAAATCAATACATTATTTTTAATGTAAGTACATTATCATAATAAATATAAATATTTCTACCCCTGAAATAAAGAAATTGTTTTTGAATAAGGAGTAGATTCTAAGCAAATACTGGGTGATTAATATACTATATTTATCCATGGCATTTCATGCCTCCCCTGGAAATGAGAGAAGTTAATATATATGTTTAATGACTTTTTATTATTTTTAGTATATTTGTAAAAAGTTACATTATCTGCTCTCATCCCAATCTTGGAACTAGACATTAACTCACTTTTGTGAAAAAATTACATTATCTGCTCTCATTACAATCTTGGAACAAGACATTAACTCACTTTGGATCATTGATCAAATTAAACACACACAGTCAATCACTAGTTTAGCTTATATATTACAAAAGAGGACTGAATCCTAATATAAACACATTTAATTATGTCTATTAGGGAGCAGTTTGGAGGGGGGAGGGAATGAGTCTTTTCATCAAGGAAAAACTCAGACTTTACTTAATGTTTAAATCTGAATTGTGAGTGGTTTCAGAAAGTGTTCTAGTTTAAATAAATCCAGAATCTTCGAACTTTCCTGATTTAGTAAAGTAGGGGCTAAGAAACAACTTGAGCAATCAGTTGCTGCTTATTATTATTTTTTATTTGCGATTTAACTGTAGATGACAACAGTGGAATTAGACTGTGCTGCAATATCTTAGGGAATGCTACCATCTTATGGTCAAGAGTGGAAAGTCCAGCAAAAACAAATGCTTTGAGAACAATCTAGGTGGAAGGAAAGATAATTCAATTTTTAAGAAGGTGGTACAGCATATAAGAGACATCAGTTCAAACTGAAGTGTACCAATTTGGCAAGCTTCAAGGGAAAATGAAGTAGATACAAATATGTAAAAAATATGCTTACATACAAATTAAGAATGGGTCACAGCTACTCAATGACCTATTAAGTAGGCAACAGATGTTCATTTATAACTTCATGACTCAGAGCCTGCTCAAAGTGGATGTTCCTCAGATGGCTACTGACTTACTTATGAACTCTTATTTTATTTTAATTTATTATTTTATTCATGTTTTAATTTTTACAATTTTTTTCTTTCAACTTGTATTATAAGTTCAGGGGATATATGTGCAAGTATGTTACATGGGTCAATTGCTTGTCCCTGGGGTTTGGTGTTAAAATGATTTCATCACCCAGTAATGAACATGGTAGTCAATATGAAGTTTCTTGACCCACACCCTTTGCCAACTCTTGACCCTCAAGTAGGCCATGGTGTCTATTGTTCCTCTCTTTGTCTCCATGTGTACTCAATATTTAGCTCACACTTACAAGTGAGCGTGCAGTATTTGGTTTTCTGTTCCTGCATAAATTTGCTTAAGATAATGGCCTTCAGCTCCATGTTTGAGAAAGGAACATGATTTCATTCCGTTTTATGGCTCTGTAGCATTCCATGGTGTATGTATACCACATATCATTTATCCAGTATACCATTGGTGGGCAAACTAGGTTGAATCCATGTCTTCACTATTGTGAATACTGGTGTGAATACTATTGTTAATGGAACATATGAGTGCATATACCTTTTGGGTAGAATGACTTATATTCCTTTGGGTATATACCAAATAAAGAGAATGCTGGATTAAATGGTAATTCTGTTTTAAGGTTTTTTTTGTTTGTTTGTTTTTCTTTCTTTCTTTTTTTTTTTTTTTTAAATCTCCAAGCTGCTTTCTATAGTGGCTAAACTAATTTGCCTTCCCACTAATAGTGTATAAGTGCTCCTTTTTCTCTACAGCCTCACAAACATCTGTTATTTTTTTGACCCTTCAGTATTAGCCATTCTAATTGATGTGAGATGATACCTCATTGCAGTTTTTATTTCCATCTCTTTAACGATTAGTGATGTTGTACATTTTTTCATATACTTGTTGACTGTGTAAGTCTTCCTTTGAGAATTATCTGTTCATATCCTTTGCTCATTTTTAATGCAGTTGTTTTTTGCTTGAAGTTTTGTTAAAGTTCCTTGTAAATTCTGGACATTAGGCTTTGTAAGATGCATGGTTTGCAAATATTTTATTTTATTCTGAAGGTTGTCTGTGTACTTTGCTAATAATTTCTTCTTTTGTGCAGAACTTCTTTGGTTTAATTAGATCCCTCTTGTAAATGTTCCTTTCTGTTGGAATTGCTTTTGGTGAATTGATCATGGAATCTTTACCAAGGCCTATGTTCACAATGATATTTCCTAGGTTTTCTTGTAGGGTTTTCAAAATTTTAGATCTTACATTTAGGTCTTTCATCAATTTTGAGTTTTTTTCTTTATAGTGAAAGGAAGGGATTCAGTTTCGATCTTCTGCTTATGGCTAGCTAGTTATTTCAGCACCATTGACTGAATAGGGTTTCCTTCCTTATTGCTTCTTTTTGTCAGCTTACTAACAGATCACATGGTTGTAGGTGTGCAGCTTTGTTTACATGCTCTCTATTCTGATCGATTGGCCTATGTGTCTGTTTTTGTACCAGTACCATGCTGTTTGGTTACTGCAGCCTTCTACTTGTTTGAAGTCAGGCAGTGTAAAGCCTCTGCCTTTGTTCTTTTTGCTTGGGATTTCTTTGGCTATTTGGGCTCTTTTTTGAATTCATATGAATTGTAGAATAATTTTTCCCCATTCTGTAAATAATTACCTTGGCAGTTTACTAATAATACTATTGAATCTGTAAGTTGCTTTGGGAAATATAGGCATTTTAACAATGTTGATTCCTCCTATCCATGAGCATTGAATGTTTTCCATTTGTTTGTAAAATCTATTATTTTTTTCAGCAGTGTTTTGTAATTCTCATTGTTGTGATGTTTCACCTCCCTAATTAGCTGTATTCCTAGATATTTTATTCTTTTTATGGCTATAGTGAATGAGATTGCATTCTGATTTGGCTCTCAGTTTAGACGTCATTGGTGTATACGAATTCTAGTGGTTTTCTGTAAACTGATATTTTAGTGTAAAACTTTATGGAAGTTGTTTCTTAGTTCTAGGGGCCTTTGGATAGAGACTATGGGGTTTTCTAGGTATTTAATCATATTATCTGTGAAAATAGATAGTTTGGCTTTCATTGTGCCTATTTGAATGCGTTTTATTTATTTATTTTTTCTGTTACCAGATTGACTTGGCTGAAGACTTCCTGTACTATGTTGAATGGGAGTGGTGAGAATGAGAATTCTTGTCTTGTTCCAGTTCTCAAATAAAATGCTTCCAGTTTTTTCCCATTTATCTTGATGTTTACTGTGAGGTTTTCATAGATGACTCTTACTATGTTTAGGTGTGTTTCTTCAATGTCTAATTTGTTGAGGGTTTTTCACATGAAGGGATGTTGAATTTTATCAAAACCCTTTTTTGCATATATTGAGATGAACATGTGGTTTTGTTTTTTAGTTATGTTTAGGTGTTAAATCACATGTATTGATTGAACCAACCTCGCATTTAAGGAATATAAGCCTACTTGATCATGGTGTATTAGCTTTTTGTTGCCCTTCTGGATTCATGCTAGTAATTTGTTGAGGTTTTTGTGTCTATGTTCATCAAGAATGTTGGCCTGATGTTTTCCTTGTCATTGGGTCTCTGCCAGATTTTGGTATCAGGATGATGCAAGCCTCATAAAATGAGTTAGGGAGGACTAGCTTCTTGTCATTTTTTTTTTGAATAGTTGTAGTAGAATTGGTACTAGCTCTTCTTAATATGTCTTACAGAATTCATCTGTGAATCTGTCTGATCCAGGGCTTTTTCTGGTTGTTAAATATTTAATTACTGATTCAATTACAGAACTCATCATTGGTCTATTCAGAATTTTAATTTCTTCCTGGTTCAATATTAGGAGGTTGTATGCTTTTAGGAGTTTATCTATTTGTTCTAGGTTTTCTAGTTTGTGTGTATAGAGGTGTTTTTGATAGCCTCTAAGAGTTTTTTGTGTATCTGTGGGGTCAGCGAAATATGACATTTCTCATTTATGATCATGTTTACTTGGACTTTATTAATAAAGTGAGTTGTCTATTGATTTTATTTATTCTTTCAAATAAACAAACTTTGGTTTTGTTAATTGTTGGTATGGATTTTCACATCTCAGTTTCATTCTATTAAGCTCTGATTCTGGTTATTTCTCCTCTTCTGCTACCTTTGGGTTTGGTTTGCTCTTCTTTCTCTACTTCCCACAGGTGTGCTGTTATGTTGATATTTTAACCTTTATTTTAGGTTCAGGTGTACATGTGCAGATTTGTTGTACAGATTATTCTATCACCCAGGTATTAAACCTAGTACCCTATAATTTTTTTCTGCTCATCTCTTTCCTCCTAACCTCCACCCTCAGATAAGTCTCAGTGTCTGTTTTTTGTTTTTGTTTTTGTTTTGCCTATTGGTGTCCATGAGTTTTCATTATTAAACTCTGACTTATAAGTGTGAACATGTGGTATTTGGTTTTCTGTTCCTGCATTAGTTTGCTAAGAATAATGGCAATCAGCTCCATCCATGTTTCTGCAAAGGACATGATCTCTTTTATGGTTGCATAGTATTCCATGGTATATATGTACCACATTTTCTTTAGCCAGTCTAAAATTGATGGACATTTAAGTTGATTCCATGTCTTTACTATTGTGAATAATGCTACAATAAACATATACACACATGTGTTTTCATAACAGAATGATTTATATTCTTTGGGGTATATATCCAGTAATGGGATTGCTGGGTTGAATGGTAGTTCTGTTTTTAGTTCTTTGAGGAATCACCACACTGCTTTCCACAATGGATGAACTAATTTACACTCCCAACAGTGTGTAAATGTTACTTTTATGTGCAACCTCATCAGGATCTCTTGTTTTTTAGCTTTTAAATATTAGCCATTTTGACTGGTGTGAGATAGTATCTCATTGGAGTTTCAATTTGCATTTCTCTAATGATTAGTAATATTGATCTTTTTTATATGCTTGCTGGCCACAAGCATGTCTTCCTTTGAAAATTTACTGTTCATGTTTTTTCTTCACCTTTTAATGGGGTAGCTTGTCTTTTTTTTTTTTTTTTTTTTTTTTTTGTAAATTTAAGTTCCCTATAGATGCTGGATAACAGTCTTTTATCAGATGCACAGTTTGCAAATAGATTCTCCCATTGTGTAGGTGTCTGTTTACTCTGTTAATAGTTTCTTTTGCTATGTAGAAGCTCTTAAGTTTAATTAGATCACATCACTCTGTTAATAGTTTCTTTTGCTGTATAGAAGCTCTTAAGTTTAATTAGATCACATCTGTCATTTTTTCTTTTGTTGCAATTGCTTTTGGTGTCTTCATCATGAAATCTTTGCCAGTTCTTATGTTCATAATGATACTGCCTAGGTTGTCTTCTGGTGTTTTTATAGCTTTGGGTTGTACATGTAAGTCTTTAATTTATTGTGAGTTGATTTGTGTATTTCATGGTGTAATAAAGGGGTCCAGTTTCAATCTTTTGCATATGGCTAGGCAGTTATCTCAGAACCATTTATTGAGTAAAGAGTCTTTTCCCCACTGATTTTTTTTTTGTCAGCTTTATTGAAGTTCAGATGGTTGTATGTGTGTGGCCTTATTTCTGGACATTCTGTTCCATAGGTCTATGTATCTGTTTTTGTACCAATACCAGGCTGGTTTTTTGTTGTTGTTAGGGCAGCCCTGTAGTATAGTTTGAAGTCAGATAGCATGATGTCTTCTAATTAATTCTTTTTGCCTAGGATTGCCTTGCCTATTTGTGGTCTTTTTTTTTGGTACCATATGCATTTTATAATAGTTTTTCTTTTCTAATTCTGCAAATAATGTCATTAATAGTTTAATAGCAATAGCATTGGATCTGTAAATTGGTTTGGGCTATATGGCCATTTTATCAAAATTAATTTATCTATTCATGAGCATAGAATGTTTTTCTATTTGTTTGTGTCATCTCTGATTTCTTCAATCAGTGTTTTGTATTTCTCATCGTAGAGATCTTTTACCTCCCTCATTAGGTGTATTTCTAGGTATTTTATTCTTTTCTTGGCAATTTTGAATGACATTGTGTTCCTTATTTTGCTGTCTGCTTGGCTGTTTTTGGTGTATAGGAATTCCATTAATTTCTGTACACTGATTTTGTATTCTGAAACTTTGCTGAAGTTGTTTACTAGCTAAAGGAGCTTTGGGACCAGGACTATGGTGTTTTCTAGATATAGAATTATGTCATCTGCAAACAAGGATAGTTTGACTTTCCCTCTTCCTATTTGGATTCCTTTATTTATTTCTCTTGCCTAATTCCTCTGGCCAGGTCTTCCAATAATATGTGAAATAGGAGCGGTGAGAGAGGGCATCCCTGTCGTGTGCCAGTTTTCAAGACGAATACTTCCAACTTTTGTTCATTCAAGATGATGTTGGCTGAGAGTTTGTCATAGATGGCTTCTATTATTTCAATGGGCGTTCCTTCAATAACTACTTTATTGAGAATTTTAAACATAAAGAGATGTTGAATTTTATTAAAAACTTTTTCTGAAAACTACATGAGATGATCATGTAATTTTCGTCTTTAGTTCTGTTTATGTGATGAACCACATTTATTGATTTTCATATGTTGAACCAAACTTGACACTCAGGAAAAAGCTCTACTTTAGTTTGGTAAATAAGGTTTTCTATGTGCTTCTGGATTTGATTTGCTAGAAGTGTGTTGAGGATTTTTGCATCAATGTTTATCAAAGTTATTGACCTAAATTTTTATTTTGTGTGTGTGTGCCTGCCAGGTTTTGGCTTCAGGAGGATGCTGGTCTCATAGAATGAGTTAGAAAGAAGTCCTTTTTTCTTGAATTTTTGGAATAGTATCCATAGAAATAGTAACAGCTCTTTTTTGTAAATATGGTGGAATTTGACATGAATCCACCATGTCCTGGGCTTTGATTGGTAGGCTACATATTACAGATGGAATTTCAGAGCTCATTATTTGTCTATTCAGGGATTCAATTTCTTTGTGGTTCCATCTTCAAAAGGTGTATGTGTCCAGGAATTTATTCATTTCTTCTAAATTCTCAAGTTTATTTGCATAAAAGTTTTCATAATAGTATCTGATTGTTATTAGTATTTCTGTAGGGTCACTGGTAATGTCCCCTTTGTCATTTCTAATTTTGTTTATTTGGAACTTCACTCTTTTCTTCTGTATTAATCTAGCTAGCAGTCTACCTATCTTATTAATATTTAAAAGAACAGCTTCTGGTTTCATTAATGTTTGCATGAATGTTGTGCATCAATCGATTTCAGCTCAGCAATGATTTTGTTTATTTCTCATCTTCTGTTAGCTTCCAATTTGATATTCTCTTGCTTCTCTAGGTTTTCAGTGATAATGTTAGGTTGTTAATTTGCGATATTTTAAACTTTTTGATGACAGCATTTACTGTGATAACTTTCTCTCTAAACAATGCCTTTGCCTTTCCTGGAGATTCTGATACGTTGTGTTTTTGTTCTCGCTAGTTTCAAAAAACTTCTTAATTTCTGCCTGCATTAGTTTCATTATTTACTCAGAAGTCACTTATGGGTAAGTTGTCTAATTTACGTATGATTCCATGGATTTTTTAGTCTTGAATTCTATTTTTATTGCTCTGTAGTCTGAGAAAGTCGTTGGTATGATTTCAGTTATTTTGAATTATTTGCTGAGCGTTTTTTTGTTGGATATATGGTCAATTTTAGAGTATGTGCCATGTGGCAATGAGAAGAATGTGTATTCTGCTGGTTTTCGCTGGAGAATTCTGTAGAGCTCTATCATATCCATTTAACCCAATCTTGATTTTACATCCTGAACGTTATTTTCAAACTTGATGATCTGTCTAATACTGTCAGTGGAGTGTTGAAATCTCCTAGTATTGTGTTGGATGCTAAACTCTTTGTAGGTTTCTAAGAACTTGCTTTATGAATCTCGGTGCTCCTATGTTGAGTGCATATATATTTAGAAAAGTTATGACTTCTTGCCGAATTGAATACTTTACCATTTTCTAATGACATTCTTTGTCTATTTTGATCTTTGTTCATTTAAAGTCTGTTTTTTTTCTGAAATTAGTATTGCAATCCCTGCATTTTTTCTGATAGCCATTTGTTTGGTAGATTTTTCTCCATCCGTCTGTTTTGAGCCTATGAGTGTCATTGCACATGAGATTGGTCTCTTGACGACAGTATACCTTTGGGTCTTTCTTATTTATTCAGCTTGCCACTCTGTGCCTTTCAATTGGTGCATTTAGCCCATTTAAATACAATGTTAGTATTCATATGTGTGGACTTGATTCTGCCATTTTGCCATTAGCTGGTTTTTATGCAGACTTGATTGCATGGTTGTTTTACGGTGTCACTGGTCTGTGTATTGAAGTATGGTTTTGTAATGACTGCTAGTGTTGTTTTCCTTCCATATTTTGTGCTTTTTTTATGAGCTCCTGTAAGGAAGGTCTGGGGGTAACAAATTCCCTCAACATATGGTTGTCTGAAAAATATCTTATTTCTCCTTTGTTTATGAGGTTTAGTTTGGCCAGATATGAAATTCTCCTTTGCAATTTATTTTCTTTAAGAATGTCGAATATAGGCCCCCAGTTTGTTCTGGCTTGTAGGGTTTCTACTGAGAAGGCTGCTGTTAGTTTGATGGACTTCCATTTGTAGGTGACCCACCCTTTGTCCCTAGCTGCCCTTAACATTTTTTCTTTCATTTTGACCTTGGACAGCCTGATGATTATGTGGCTTGGAGATGATCTTTTTGTGAAGTATTTTGCAGAGTTTCTCTGCATTTCCTGAATTTTAATGTTGGCATCTCTCAGTAGGTTGGGGAAGTTCTCATGGGTAATAGTCTGAAATATGTTTTCCAAGTTGCTTCCATTCTCCTCATCTCTTTAAGAGATGCCAATGTTTTATAGATTTTGTCTTTTTACACAAGCCCATATTTCCTGGAAGTGTTGTTATTTTCTATTCATTTTTTAAAATTTTTCATCTGACTATTTTAGAAAGCCAGCCTTCAAGCTCTGAGATTCTTTCCTCTGCTTGGTCTATTCTACTATTAATACTTGCAATTGCATTATGAAATTTTTGTAGTGTGTTTTCAAACTCTATCAGTTTGGTTACTCTTTTTTCTGTACTGGCTATTTTGTCTGTCAGTTCCTTTATCATTTTCTTGTGATTCTTATCATTTTTACATTGGGTTTCAATGTTCCCCTAATCTCAATGATCTTCATTCCTATCCACATTGCGAATTATACTTCTTTAGGCCATCTTGGCCTGGTTAAAACAACTACTGTGGTTGTTTGGAGGAAATAAGACACTCTGGATTTTTGGGTTGCTAAAGTTTTTGCACTGGTTCTTCACATCTTTGTGGGCTGAGGTTCCTTTAATCTTTGAAATTGCTGTCCTTTGGATGAGTTATTTTTTTTTTCATTTTGTCCTATTTGATGTCCTTGGGGGTTTCATTGTAGTATAATTTGGGTCCATTCAACTGGCTTCATTTCTGGAAGATTTTATGAGGTTACACCTCAGTTCAGGACTACTGTGCTGCAAGCTCTAACTCTGGGGGACTGGTACTGGGCCCCGGCTTTGTTCTCTGGCTCCTCAAGGTTGGAAACCTCCTGTTCTGGAGGGGCTAAGGAGCTCTTGGATCACTGGTCAGAACACTTAAATGGGTGGTGCCATGCAATGCACTTCATAGGGCAGTGGCAGTGGGATCCATCATTGTTCACATGTGCCAGGAGTAGTGGCAAAGTCAGCTGCAGCAGGGTGTTATTGGGTGTTGAGGTACCAATCTCTTTGTGGGTGTTCATGGCAGTGACAGAGACAACTCAGCTAGGGGGGAAAGGGGCCTCCACAAGTGACTATCTGTGTTCACATCAGTTGTGATGTTAGCATGGGGGCAAGACACTTGTGAGCACAGAACTGTGTGTGCCTTCTGTGCCTGTTCACACAGGCAGCAGTGGCAGGTCAATGCAGAGGCAGGTTCACTCTCTTCCATGCATAGTTTTGTGCTGGTAACAGTGTATATGCAGGTGTGGGTGCTGGTGGGGCTTGGGCTGGTGGGCTCCATGGTGGTACAGGAATGGTGTTATAGCAGTGGGAGAGAGGTGGGATGCACTCATGCAAGCAGCAGTGGTACAGCAGGGTGCATGTGCACACCCTCACTGGCAGAAAAGAAAAGACAAGGTCCACCCGCACACATATGTGCCAGCAGAGTGATGCTGGGGGTGGCCTTGGGTGAGTGCATTCAGACAAAGCAGCAAAGAGAAGGCTGCAGTCAGGAAAGGGTGAAAACAGGCTGGTGTGTGTGTGCCACTCTGCTGGAGAACTCTGCCAGTCAGGTGTGGTCAACCTGCGCAAGAGCTATGATACAAGGATCCAGAAGGTAGGTACCTGGGGATTGCACTGTGAGCAGATGCAACAAGGCTGGGGCCTCAGGACAGGCCAACAGGCCAAGTGGTTCTCAGCTTGGACTGGGCCTGTCTCATGGGCAAGACTACCATGCAGAGTTCAGGTCTGACAGTTGCTCTAGGGCTAAACTCTCCTATGGAGGCCAGTTAAGCCTGGGTTTATGGGCATCCCTGGCCGTGCTCCACTATAGATGCTCCACCATCAAACCCTCTGGGCTTCACATGGACCGAAGTTTGCTGCCACCACTTCTCTAAGCAGCTCTGCCTGCCAACTCAATTATCCATAGTGGTCAACAGGTCTCCTCTTACTGGGATTCTAGAGGCCCATAAGAGTGTGTTGCTCCTTGCCTCTTCAGCTCATTCCTTCCATAAGAGTCACTGGAGGCCAAGAACAAGTCCAATTGTGCAGTAGCACCGTGCTGGGTTCCTAGCTTTCTCCCCCTTCAGCTCCACATCTGTGGTTTTTCTCTGTCTGCTCTCTATGCATTCCCTCTGAAGAACTGCTAGGAGAGTGCCAGTCTTCATGATGTCCTGATCTCTCAGTAAGAAATGTTATCCCTGGTTTTGTATAGTCAGCCATCTTGTGAAAAGAAGTTTGTTATGTTGTAGATTTGATATCTTTCAAACTTCTTTATGTAGGTCTTGAGCATTAAAATTTTTCCTCTTAACATTGCTTTAGCTGTGTCATAAAAATTCTGGTACATTGTATCTTTATTTTAATTCGTTTCAAAGACTTTTTGATGTCTGCTTAAATTTTCTGTTTTCTTGTTTGTTTGTTTGACAGAGTCTCACTCTATTGCCCAGGCTGGAGTGCAATGGCGTGATCTTGGCTCACTGCAACCTCCACCTCCTGGGTTCAAGCCATTCTCCTGCCTTAGGTTCCTGAGTAGCTGGGATTACAGGCATGCACCACCATACCTGGCTAATATTTTTGTATTTTTAGTAGAGATGGGATTTCACCATGTTGGCCAGGCTGGTCTCGAACTCCTGACCTCATGATCTGCCCACCTCGGCCTCCCAAAGTGCTGGAATTACAGGCGTGAGCCACCGCACCCGGCTAATTTTCTTCTTTACCCAAGAGTCATTCAGGAGGAGATTGTTCACTTTCAATTTAATTGTATGCTTTTGAGAGATCTCCTTTGTATCAACTTCTTTTTTATTGTGCTCTGGTCCTTCACTGTGGTTGGTACAATTTTAGTGTTGTTGTTGTTGTTGTTGTTGTTGTTGTTGAGAATTCCATTATGGCCAGGCATGTGGTTGATCTTAGAGTGTGTCATGTGCACATGAGAAAACTGTATATTCTGTTGTTGTTGGATGAAGTATCCTGTAGACCTCTATTAGGCCCATTTAGTCAAGTGTCATGTTTAGGTCCTGAATATCTTTGTTAGATTTCTGTGTGGATAATCTGTCTAACATTGGCAATGGAGTGTTGGGGTCTCCCACTCCTATTGTGTGATTATCTAAATCTCTTCATAGGTCTCTAAAAACTTGTTTTGTGAATCTGGCTGCTCCTGTGTTGAGTGCAAATATATTTAGAATAGTTAAGTCTTGTCATTGAATTTAACACTTTACCATTATGTAATGCAATGCCCTTTTTGGTTTTGTTTTGTTTTGAGATGGAGTTTCACTCTTGTTACCCAGGCTGGAGAGCAATTGTGTGATCTTGGGTCACTGCAACCTCCGCCTCCCAGGTTCAAGCAATTCTCTTGCCTCAGCCTCCCGAGTAGCTGAGATGACAGGCGCCTGCCACCGTGCCCAACTAATTTTTATATTTTTAGTAGAGACGAGGTTTCACCATGTTGGCCAGGCTGGTCTCAAACTCCTGACCTCAGGTTATCTGCCCACCTCAGGTTATCTGCCCACCTCAGCCTCTCAAAATGTTGGGATTACAGGCGTGAGCACCCAGCCCACTTTTTGTCTTTTTTGATCATTGTAGGTTAAAGTTTGTTCTGTCAGAAAATAGAATAGCAACCTCACTTTTTTGTTTTCTGTTTTCTTGGTAGATTTTTCTCCACTCCTTTACTTTAAGCCTATGGGTGTCTTTGCATTTGAGATAGGTCTCTTGAAGACAGTATACAGTTAAATCCAACTTGCCACTCTGTGCCTTTTATTTTGGGCAGATAGCCCTCTGATATTGGAAATTAATATTGATAAGTGCAGATTTGATCCTCTCATTGTGTTGCTAACTGTTTATTATGCAGACTTATTTGTGATTTGTGTCGTTTTTTGTTTTTTTTTGTTTGTTTTGTTTGTTTTTTTTTTTTGTGTGGAGTTTTGCTCTTGTTGCCCAGGCTGGAGTGCAATGGCGCAATCTCAGCTCACTGCAACCTCTGCCTCCCAGGTTCAAGTGATTCTCCTGTCTCAGCCTCCTGAGTAGCTGGGATTACAGGCACATATGACCACACCCGGCTAATTTTGTATTTTTAGTAGAGACAGGGTTTCATCATATTGGTCAGGCTGGTCTTGAACTGCTTACCTCAGGTGATGCACCTGCCCCGGCCTCCCAAAGTGCTGGGATTAGAGGCTTGAGCCACCGCGCCCGACCTGTGTAGTTTCTTGATAGTGTCAATGGTCTATGTATTTAAGTGTGCTTTTGTGGTGGCTGGTAACAGTGTTTCATTTCTGTATTTAGCACTCCCTTGAGGATCTATTGTAAGGTATGTCTGGTGGTAAAAAAAAAAAATCTTAGCATTCGTCTGTCTGAAAATCATCTTATTTCTCCTTCCTTCCTGGAGTTGAATTTGGCTGGATATAAAATTATTAGTTGAGGGTTTTCTTTAAGAATGCTGAATATAGGTCTTAGTCTCTTCTGGCTTCTAAACTTTCTGCTGAAGGGTTCACTGTTAGCCTGATGAGTTTCCCTTTGTAGGTGACTTACCCTTCTTTCTAGCTGTCTCTAAGATTTTTTCTCATTAACTTTGGAGTATCTAATGACTGTTTGCCTTGGGTATAGCCATATTGTATAGTATCTCTCAGGTGTTCTCTGAATTTCCTAAATTTGCATGTCATCTCTCTGAAAACATTGAAAGAATTTTCATGAACCATACTCTCAAATATGTTTTCCAAGTTGCTTGTTCTCTATCCCTCTCTTTCTTAGGTTTGGTTTATTTACACAATCTCATATTTCTCAAACATGTTATTCACTTAAAAATTTTGCTTTTCTTTATTTTTGTCTGCCTGTGTTGATTCAAAGAAAACATCTTTGAGTTCTGAGATTCTTTTCTCAGCTTGGTTTATTCTGTTATTAATCCTTCCAATTGCATTCTAAAATTAATGTAGTAATAATTTTTTATTCTAAAAGTTTAGTTTTATTGTTTCTTAAAATGGCTATGTCACCTTTAAACTCTTAGACCATTTTACTGTTTTCCTTGGATTAGCTTTCAACCTCTTCCTATATTCCAATGCGCTGCCTTGCCATTCAGATTTTGCATTCTATGTCTTTCTTTTTAGACATTTTAGTCTGGTTAAGAACCATTGCTGGGGAGCTATTGTGGTAATTTGGAGGTAACAAGACATTCCGGCCTTTAGAGTTGCCAGAGTTCTTGCACTGGTTCCTTCTCATCTGTAAGCTGATGTTCCTCTCAACTTAGAGGTAGCTGTCTTTTGAACTTGGCATTTTGCTTTTATACCCTTTGATTCCTTTGAGGGTTTCCCTGTGGTACAAGTTGAGTTAGTTGATTGGCTTTATCTCTACATGCTTTCACAGGACCAAGGCTCAACTCAGCATTTCACAGCTGCATACTCTAACCCTAGTGGACTGAGATTAAGCCCATGGCTTTGTTCTCTGGTTCCTCGAGGTTAAGCACCGATTGCACTTGAGGAGCCAAAAATTTTTTAGTCTGCTGTCAACAGTACTCCAACAGTGGCTGTTGGCAAAAAGTGCTCCAGTGTTGCAGCAGCAGGTACCACTTTGAGTGTGTGCCAGTGGGACAGAAATGTATCCACATGCATGTGCACCCCACTAAGGCAGAAGCAGAGGTTGCAAGCAAGTGCATGGAGGTAGGGGAAGGCTGTGGGCAGGTGCTGCTGTTGGGAGTCTGTCTGCTAATGTGCTTCAACCTGTAAGTGGGGTCTGTTGGTGAAAGAGCTATGGAATTGGCCACTGGAAAGCACTTTGGCTGGCCAGCTGAGGCTGTACTGCAAGTGAATGTTGCCAGGTAGGATCTCTGGGATTATCCAATAGATATGGTGGTGCTTGGGTCAGAATTGCACTGTTCCATGGGCAAGACAATTATGCTGTGTCCAGTTCCCACAGCTAACAAAGTCTAAAGCCACCTAGAAGAGTATGAAGAGTGTTGGAGGGTTCGCACTCCAGGTCTTGCTCCACTGCAGCCATTTATGTGCCAAATATTCTGGGCTGCATGCAAGCTGAAGTCCTGTGTCTGCCAACTCTCTGAGCAGTTCTCTTTTCCAGTTCAGATGTCCATGGGTGTCATGGAGTCTCCCACAGCTGGGATCGCAGAGGTCCATGGTGAGAGTGGGTCACTTCACTTCTATTTAACTCAACCCTTCCCCAGGAGCTGTTCAGGGCCAGGAACAGCTCACATGCCCTTGATCTGGCAAGTCTTCCACTGGCAGCCAGCCTCTGTGAACAAGGCAAAAGAGTACTCTGAATCCCAAGAAGGCTGTTTTTATTTCACAAAATTGCCCCAGGCCATGAGATCCCCTGCCCAGGATAAAATCTGTAGGTCCCAGGACACATCCTTCCTGGTACAGTTCCATGAAGGGTGGGGTGCCCAACTCCTATACCACAGCATGAACCCACACCAGTTTCCTCTCATTTATGGCCATGGGAACTTCTCTCTCACTTGAAATTAGACTGCAAATCTCAACCCCAGGCTCCTGGATGGAGTGTATGATTCCTGGGGTGCAGAATCAGGCCAGTGGACTTGTCCTCAGACCCACTGGGTTCAGGCACTGATTGTGATAGGGAAAACTTGGCTGGCCCCAAGCTGTCAGCATAATTTTTAGGCAGGGGCAGCAGCAGCTGCCCACTGGGACTGGCACCAGGAAGGGCAGCCCTTCTCAGCAGGAGCAGCTAGGCAGGTAGCTGAGGGGTGAACAGGCAAGTGTGGGGCATGTTGTTCATACCTCGGTCTTACTGAAGTTTGCACAAGTGGCAGTATTCAGCTTTGAGTTGTGTAGAAACAAAAAGCCTCACCTACCCCTCCCTGGTCTGTCCAGTTCCCACAGCTAACAAAGTCTAAAGCCACCTAGAAGAGTATGAAGAGCCTTGGAGTGTTCACGCTCTAGGTCTTGCTCCACTGCAGCCATGTGGCAGTGCAGTGGCAGCCCTGGGGTTGGATGCAGAGCTTTGAGGGATGAGTTTTCAGAATGGGACCCTGCTGCATCTGCTCAAGGTCTAGAAGCCTCTGCGACTTCATGTGAGCTTAAGCGCTGCTTATGCACAATCTCCAGGCAACTCCCTATGCCAATCTTGAGGCACACAAAGGTTTAGGGGCTTCCCATAGCTAGGATTGTAACAGTCCATGATGGAAATGTGGAGTCCTAGGGTTCTCTCACTTACCAACTCCAAAAACACCTTCAAAACCATGCAAATACTTAGAAATTAAATAACCTGCTCTTGAATGATCACTGGGTCAACAATGAAATAAAGATGGAAATTTAAACATTTTTTGAACTGAACAATAATAGTGACACAATCTATCAATATTTCTGGGACACTGCAAAGGCAGCGCTAAGGGGAAAGTTCATAGCCTAAATGCCTACATCAAAAAGTCTGAAAGAGCACAGACAATCTAAGGTCACACCTCAAGGAACTAGAGAAACAAGAAAAAAACAAACCCAAACTCAGCAGAAAAAAATAAATAACCAAGATCAGAGCGCAACTAAATGAAATGGAAACAAACAAAAAAATACAAAAGATATATAAAACGAAAAGCTGGTTCTTTGAAAGGATAAATAAAATTAATAGACCATTCACAAGACTAACCAAGAATAGAAGAGAGAAGATCCAAATAAGCTTAATTAGAAACAAAATGGGAGATATTGTAAAAGACATTACAGAAATTCAAAAGATTATTAAAGGCTACAACGAACACCTTTATGTGCATAAACTGGAAAATACAGAGGAGATGGTTTAATTCCTGAAAAGATTATAACCCTCCTAGCTTAAATCAGAAAAAAAATAGAAATCCTGAATAGACCAATAACAAGCAGCAAGATTGAAATGGTAATAAAAAATTACAAACAAAAAAAAGTCTAGGACCAGATGAATTCACAGCCAAATTCTATCAGACATTCAAAGACAAATCGGTGTCAATCCTACTGAAACTATCCCACAAGATAGAGAAAGAGAGAACACTTACTAAATCATTGTATGAAACCAGTATCACCCTAATACCAAAACCAGGAAAGGACATAACAACAAATAAACAAAAATAAAGAAAAATACAGAAAAATATCCCTAATGAATATAAACACAAAAATCCTCAACAAAATATTAGCTAACCAAATCCAACAGCATATCAAAAAGATAATACAACATGATCAAGTGGGTTTCATACCAAGGATGCAGGGATAGTTTAACGTACACAAGTCAATAAATGTAATACACCACATAAACAGAATTAAAGACAAAAACCACATGATTAT
Organism: Homo sapiens; assembly: GCF_000001405.40. NCBI lineage: Eukaryota > Metazoa > Chordata > Mammalia > Primates > Hominidae > Homo > Homo sapiens. The sequence goes on from NC_000023.11 coordinate 83,950,712, forward strand.
TTCAATAGATGCAGAAAAAGCATTTGACAAAATCCAGTATCCCTTTATGATTAAAAACCTCAGCAAAATCGGCATGCAAGAGATATTCCTCAATATAATAAGAGCCATTTATAACAAACCCACAGCCAACATAATACTGAATGGGGAAAAGCTGAAAGCATTCCTTCTGGAAACTGGAACAAGACAAGGATGCCCACTCTCACCACCTCTATTCAACATACTACTGAAAGTCCTAGCCAGATCAATCAGTCAAAAGAGATAAATAAAGAGCCTCCAAATTTGTAAAGAGGAAGCCAAACTGTTGCTGTTTGCTGATGATATGATTGTATACCTAGAAAACCCTAAAGATGTCTTCAAAAACCTTCTACAACTAACAAATGAATTCAACAAAGTTTCAGGATACAAATTAATATACATAAATCAGTAGCTCTGTTATTTACCAAGAGCAACCAAGTTGAGAATCAAAACAAGAACGCAGCTCCCTTTACAATAGCTGCAAAAAAAAAAAAACTTAAAAATTTACCTAAACAAGGAGGTGAAAGACCTCTACAAGACAAACTAAAAAACACTGCTAAAAGAAATCATAGAAAATGAAAATAAATGTGAAAATTACCATACTGCCAAAAGCAATTTACAAACTCGATGCAATTCCACCAAAATACCAGCATCATTCTTCACAGAACTAGAAAAAAAATTCTAAAATTAATATGGAACCAAAAAAGAGCTCACATAGCCAAAACAAGACTAAACAAAAAGAACAAATCTGGAAGCATTACATTACCTGACTTAAAACTATATTATAGGGCCACAGTCACAAAAACATCATGGTACTGGTATAAAAATAGGCACATAGACCAATGGAACACAATAGAGAACACAGTAGTAAACCCAAATACTTACAGCTGACTGATCTTCAGCAAAGCAAACAAAAACATAAAGTGGAGAAAGGACACTCTATTCAACAAATGGTGCTGAGATAATTGGCAAACCACATGTACGGAATAAAACTGGATCATTATCTCTCACCTTATGCAAAAATCAACTCAAGATTAATCAAGGACTTAAATCTAATACTGGAACTATAAAAATTCCAGAAGACTAGAAGATAACATTGTAAAAAGCCTTCTAGACATTGGCTTAGGCCAAGACTTTATGATCAAGAACCCAAAAGCAAATGCAACAAAACCAAAGATGAATATGTGGAACTTAATTAAACTAAAGAGCTTCTGCACAGCAAAAGCAGAAACAGTCAGCAGAGTAAATTGACAAAACAAAGAGTGGAAGAAAATCTTTACAATCTATCCATTTGACAAATGACTAATATTTAGAATCTACGAAAAATTCAAACAAATTAGCAGAAAAAAAACAATTCTATCAAAAAGTGGGCTAAGGACATGAATAAACAATTCACTACAGAAGATATACAAATGGCCATCAAACATATGAAAAGGTGCTCAACATCACTAATGATAAGTGAAATGCAAATCAAAACCACAATGTAATACAACTTTACTCCTGCAAAAATGGCCACAATCTAAAAATCAAAAAAATAAGAGATGTTGGCCTGGATGTGGTAAAAAGGGAACACTTCTACACTGCTGGTGGGAATGTAAACTAGTGCTAACACTATAGAAAACGGTGTGGAGATTCCTTAAATAACTAAAAGTAGAACTACCATTTGAGCCAGCAATTCCATTACTGGGTATCTACCTAGAGGAAAAGAAGTTATTATACAAAAAATATACTTGCACACACATGTTTGTAGCTGCACAATTCCTAATTGCAAAAAAAAATATGGAACCAGCCCAATTCCAAATGCCCATTAATTAATGAGTGGATAAATAAACTGTAGTATATATGATGGAACACTACTCAGCCATAAAAAGAAACAAATTAATGGCATTCATGGCAACCTGGATGGAACAGGAGACTATTCTTCTAAGCAAAGTAACTCAGGAATGAAAAACTTAACATCGTATGTTCTCACTCATAAGTGGGAGCTAAGCTTTGAGGATACAAAGGCATAAGAATGATGCAATGGACTTTCTGGACTCAGGGAAAAGGGTTGGGGGGTGGTAAGGGATAAAAGACTAAAACTTCGGTGCAGTATGTACTGTTTGGGTGATGGGTGCACCAAAATCTCACAAATCACCACTAAAAATCTTACTCATTAAACTAAAGACATGTATTTCCCAAAACCTATGGAAATACAAAATTTTAAAAGGGAACATAACTCAAAATAATAAAGGCTATATACAATGAACTAACAACCAACATTATAATAAATGGGGAAAAAAGTAAAAAACATTTCCGCTAAGAACTGGAACCAGTCAAGGTACCATTTCATCAGTCCTATGTAACATAGTACTGGAAGTCCTAGCCAGAGCAATCAGGAAAGATAAAAGATTGAAATTGGAAATGAGAAAGTCAAATTTTCTTGGTTGGCTAATGTTATGATGTTATATGTAGAAAATTTTAAGACTCCTAGATTTTATTCATAAATTCAAAAGAGTTTCATTATACAAAACTCTGTACAAAATTAGTAGCATTTTTATAACCAGTAATAATCTTTCTCAGTACCAAATCAAGAAGACATATCTACATACCATAGCTATGAAAAAACCCCTAGGAATACAATTAACAAAGGAAGTGTAAGATCTCCAAACTACAAAACACTGATGAAATAAATCATACATGAAAAGTGTCTCATGCTCAGTGATTGTAAGTATCAATATTATCAAAATGATCAAACTACTGAAAGAAATATACAGATTCAATCCAATTCCTATCAAAATATACCAATGTTATTTTTTTCTGAATTACACACAACAATAGTAAAATTCATATGGAACCACAAGGAGACAAAATAGTAAAGGAATTCTAACCCAAAAGAACTAATTTGGAGGCATCAAATTTCCTTCATGATACACCACAGGGCAACAGTAACTAAAACAGCAGGTTACTGGTATAAAAATACACACATATTTTACTTGAAAAGAATAGAAAACTCAGAAATGAATTCGCATATTTTTAGCCAACTGATCTTTGGCAAAGTAGACCAAAACCTACACTGAGGAAAGAACACTTGTTTCAATAAATGATGCTAAGAGAATTGGTTAGCTATAAGCAGAAGAATAAAACTGGACTCATCTCTCTGACCATATACAAAAATTAACTCAAAGTTTTAAATGTAACACCTGAAGCTATTACAAATAGATGTGAAAATTTACTTTTGACATAAGTGAAGGCAAATAATTTACAACTCATGCATAAAAAACACAAGTACCAAAAACAGAAATGGACAAATGAGAGTTAATTAAACAAAAGATGCTGCACGGACAAAGATATAATCAACAGAGTGATCAATAATCAACAGAATTAGAGATAATATTTGTAAACTATGCATCTGAAACTACCAACTCAAAGAATCTTCAAAGAACTTAAACAACTCAACAATGGCAGCAACAAAAAACAAATAATCCCTTTGAAAAGGAGGCAAACTCCTGACTTGGAGACAACCACCATCAGGGGTCGATAGAAACCTCATACAGGAGACCTCCAGCTCGCATCAGGTGGGCGCCCCAATGAGATGCAGCTTCTAGAGGAAGGAGCAGGCAGCAATCTTTGCAGTTCTGCAGCCTCCGCTGGTGATACCCAGGCAAACAGGGTTTGGAGTGGACCTCCAGCAAACTCCCACAGACCTGCAGAAGAGGGGCCTGACTATTAGAAGGAAAACTAACAAACAGAAAGCAATAACATCAACATCAACAAAAAGGATTCCCACACAAAAACCCCATCCAAAGGCCATCAGCATCAAAGATCAATGGTAGATAAATCCATGAAGACAAAGAACAAGCACTAAATATATATATGTATATATATATGTGTGTGTATATATATGTGTGTATAAATGTATATATATGTGTGTATATATGTATATATGTGTATATATGTATGTGTATATATGTATATATGTATATATGTGTGTATATATGTATATATATGTGTGTATATATGTGTGTATATATATATACACACACACACATATACATATACACACATATATATACACATATATATACATATATATTTTCTACCTCTGGTAGAATTCAGCTGTGAATCTATCTGGTCCTGGGCCTTTTTTAATTGGTAGGCTATTAATTACTGGCTCAATTTCAGAACTTGTGATTGTTCTATTCGGGGATTCGATTTCATCCTGGTTTAGTCTTGGGAGGGTGTATGTGTCCAGGAGTTTATCCATTTCTTTTAGATTTTCTAATTTATTTGCGTAGAGGTGTTTATCATATTCTCTGGTGGTAGTTTGTATTTCTGTGGGATCAGTGGTAACATACCCTTTATCATTTTTTATTGTGTCTATTTGATTGTTCTCTCTCTTTTCTTCTTTTTTTAGTCTGGCTAGCAATCTATCTATTTTGTTAATCTTTTCAAAAAAACAGCTCCCGGATTCACTGATTTTTTGGAGGGATTTTTGTGTCTATATCTCTTTCAGTTCTGCTCTGATCTTAGTCATTTATTTTCTTCTGCTAACTTTTGAATATGTTTGATCTTGCTTCTCTAGCTCTTTTAATTGTGATGTTAGGGTGTTGACTTTAGATCTTCCTACTTTCTGATGTGGGTATTTAGTGCTATAAATTTTCCTCTTAACACTGATTTTGTTGTGTCCCAGATATTCTGTCACTTTGTTCTCATTGGTTTCAAAGAACTTCTTTATTTCTGACTTAATTTCATTATTTACCCAGAGTCATTCAGGAGCAGCTTGTTCAGTTTCCATGTAGTTATATATATATATATATATATATATATATATATATATATATATGTATACATATGTGTGTATATATATATGTGTGTATATATACATGTATATATACATGTATATATACATATATATATACATATATATATACACACACACATATATATATACATATATATATATAAAAGGGTACCAGCCACTGCAAAAACACACCAAAATATAAAGACCAATGACACTATAAAGAAACTGCATCGACTAATGTGCAAAATAACCAGCTAGCATCATGATGACAGGATCAAATTCACACAAAACAATATTAACCTTAAATGTAAATGGGCTAAATGCCCCAATTAGAAGACACAGACTGGAAAATTTGATAAAGAGTCACGACCCATCAGTGTGCTGTATTCAAAAGACACATCTCATGGGCAAAGACACACATAGGCTCAAAATAAAGGGATGGAGGAATATTTACCAAGCAAATGGAAATAAAGAAAAGCAGGGGTTGCAGTCCTAGTCTCTGATAAAACAGATTTTAAACCAACAAAGATCAAAAGAGACAAAGAAGGGCATTATATAATGGTAAAGGGATCAATGCAACAAGAAGAGCTAAGTATCCTAAATATATAAGAGCCCAATACAGGAGTGTCCAGATTCACAAAGCAAGTTCTTAGAGACCTACAAAGAGACCTAGACTCCCACAAGATAATAGTGGGAGAGTTTAACACCCCACTTTCAATATTAGATGGATCAATGAGACAGAAAATTAACAAGGATATTCAGGACTTAAACTGAACTCTGGGCCAAGCAGACCTAATAGACATCTACAGGACTCTCCACCCCAAATCAACAGAATATATATTCTTCCCAGCACCACATAGCACTTATTCTAAAAACGACCACATAATTAGAGATAAAACACTCCTCAGCAAAATGCAAAAGAATGGAAATCATAACAGTCTCTCCGACCACAGTGCAATCAAATTAGAACTCAGGATTAAGAAACTCACTCAGAACTGCACAACTACATGGAAACTGAACAACCTGCTCCTGAATGACTCTGGGTAAATAATGAAATTAAGTCAGAGATAAAGAAGTTCTTTGAAACCAATGAGAACAAAGAGACAGAATATCTGGAATACAACAAAATCAGTGTTAAGAGGAAAATTTATAGCACTAAGTACCCACATGAGAAAGTAGAAAGATCTAAAGTCGACACCCTAACATCACAATTAAAAGAGCTAGAGAAGCAAGATCAAACATATTCAAAAGCTAGCAGAAGAAAATAAATAAGATCAAAGCAGAACTGAAAGAGATATAGACACAAAAATCCCTCCAAAAAATCAGTGAATCCGGGAGCTGTTTTTTTGAAAAGATTAACAAAATAGATAGATTGCTAGCCAGACTAAAAAAAGAAGAAAAGAGAGAGAACAATCAAATAGACACAATAAAAAATGATAAAGGGTATATTACCACTGATCCCACAGAAACACAAACTACCACCAGAGAATATGATAAACACCTCTACGCAAATAAATTAGAAAATGTAAAAGAAATGGGTAAACTCCTGGACACATACACTCTCCCAAGACTAAACCAGGATGAAATCGAATCCCTGAATAGCACAATCACAAGTTCTGAAATTGAGCCAGTAATTAATAGCCTACCAACCAAAAAAGGCCCAGGACCAGATAGATTCACAGCTGAATTCTACCAGAGGTACAAAGAGGAGCTGATACCGTTCTTTCTGAAAGTACTCCAAAAAATAGCAAAAGAGGAACTCCTTTCTAACTCATTTCATGAGGCCAGCATCATCTAGAAATCAAAACTGGCAGAGACACAACAACAACAAAAATTTCAAGCCAATATCCCTGATGAAAATCATTGCAAAAATCCTCAATAAAATACTTGGAAATTGAATACAACAGCACATCAAAAAGTTTATCCACCACGAACAAGTCGGCTTCATCCCTGGGATGCAAGGCTGGTTGAACATATACAAATAAATAAACATAATACATCACATAAACAGAACCAATGACAAAAACCACATGATTATCTCAATAAATACTGAAAAGACCTTCGATAAAATTCAACACCACTTTATGCTAAAAACAATAAACTAGGTATTGATGGAACATATCTCAAAATAATAAGAGCTATTTATGACAAACCCACAGCCAATATCATACTGAATGGGAAAAACCTGGAAGCACTTCCTTTGGAAACCGGCACAATACAAGGACGCCCTCTCTAACCGCTCCTATTCAACATAGTATTGGAAGTTCTGTCAGGGCAATCAGGCAAGAAGAAGAAATAAAGTGTATTCAAATAGGAAGAGAGGAAGTCAAATTGTCTCTGTTTGCAGAAGACATGATTGTATATTTAAAAAACCCCATCATCTCAGCCCAAAATCTCCTTAAGCTGATAAGCAACTTCAGCAAAATCTCAGGATACAAAATCAATGTGCAAAAACCACAAGTATTCCTATACACCAACAATAGACAGACAAAGTCAAATCATGAGTGAACTCCCATTCACAATTGCACCAAAGAAAATAAAATACTTAGGAATACAACTTACAAGGGACGTGAAGGACCTCTTCAAAGAGAACTACAAAGCACTGCTCAGGAAATAAGAGAGGACACAAACAAATGGAAAAACATTCCATGCTCATGGATAGCAAGAATCAATATTATGAAAATGGCCATATTGCCCAAAGTAATTTATAGATTCAATGCTATTCCCATCAAGCTACCATTGACTTTATTCACAGAACTAGAGAAAACTACTTCACATTTCATATGGAACCAAAAAGGAGCTGTATAGCCAAGACAATCTGAAGCAAAAAGGACAAAGCTGGAGGCATCACACTACCTGACTTCAAATTATACTACAAGGCAATAGTAACAAAAGTAGCATGTTACTGGTACAAAACAGATATATAGACCAATGGAACAGAATAGAGGCCACAGAAATAACACCACACATCCACAACCATCTGATATTTGAGAAACATGACAAAAACAAGCAACAGGGACAGGATTCCCTAATTAGTAAATGGTGCCTTGAAAACTGGCTAGCCATATGCAGAAAACTGAATCTGGACCCCTTCCTTACACCTTATACAAAAATTAACTCAAGATGGATTAAAGACCTAAACATAAAACCAAAAACCATAAAAACGCTAATAGAAAACCTAGGCAATACCATTCAAGACATAGGCATGGGCAATGACTTTATAACTAAAACACCGAAAGCAATTGCAACAGAAGCCAAAATTGACAAATGGGATCTAATCAAACTGAAGAGTTTCTGCACAGCAAAAGAAACTATCATCAGAGTGAACAGGCAACCTACAGAATGGAAGAAAATTTTCACAATCTGTCCAGCTGACAAAGGTCTAATATCCACAATCTACAAGGAACTTAACCAAATTTACAAGAAAATAAAACAAGCAACCCTGTCAAAAAGTTGGCGAAGGATATGAACAGACACTTCTCAAAAGAAGACATTTATGCAGCCAACAAACATATGAAAAAAAGTTCATCATCACTGGTCATTAGAGAAATTCAAGTCAAAGCCACAATGAGATACCATCTCACACCAGTTAGAATAGCGATTATTAAAAAGTCAGGTAACAACAGATACCGGCGAGGCTGTGGACAGATTGAAACAGTTTTACACGGTTTGTGGGAGTGTAAATCAGTAAAATGTAACATATCATATAAACAGAATTAAAAACAAAAATTTTATGATCATCTCAATAGATGCAGAAAAAGCATTTGACAAAAGCTAGCATCCCTTTATGATTAAAACCCCCAGCAAAATCAGCATAGAAAGACATAACTCAAGGTAATAAAAGCCATCTATAAAAAACTCAGCCAATATTATACTGAATGGGGAAAAGTTGAAAGCATTCCCCCTGAGGACTGGAATAAAACAAGGATGCCCACTATCACTTCAATTCAATATAGTACTGGAAGTCCTTGCCAGAGGAATCAGACAAGAAAAATAAATATAGGACATCTAAATCTTTAAAGAGGAATTCAAACTGTTGCTGTTCACTGATGATATGATTGTGTACCTAGAAAAGCTTAAAGACTCATCCAAATTCTCCTAGAACTGATAGATAAATAAAGAAAGTGAAGTCTCAAGATACAAAATCAGTATACACAACTTAGTAGCACTGTTATACACCAGCAAGAAAGAAGCTGAGAGTTAAATAAAAAAAAAATCAATCCCTTTTAAAACATCAGCAAAAAATAATAAAATAAAATACTTGGAAATATACCTAACCAAGGAGATTAGGTACAAGATTTCTACAAGGAAAACTATAAAAAAGTGCTGAAAAAGATCATAGAAGGAACAAATAATTGGAAACACATCCCATGCTCATAGATGGGTAGAATCAATATTCTGAAAATGTCCGCACTCCCAAAATCAATCTACAAATTCAATGCAATTTCCATCAAAGCACTATCATCATTCTTCACAGCACTAGAAAAAAAAATTCTAAAATTCAAATGGAACAAATAAAGAGCCTCCATATTTAAAGCAATTCTAAGCTAAAAAAAACAAATCTACAGGTATCACATAACTCAACTTCAAACTGTACTGCAAGGCTATAGTTACCAAGAGAGCATGGTACTAGTATAGAAATAAGCATATAAGCCAATGGAACAGAATAGAGAAGAGAAACAAAAAATAAAACCAAATACTTACAGCCAACTGACCTTCGACAAAGCAAACAAAAACATAAAGTGGAGAAAGGACATCCTATACAATAAATGGTGCTGGGAAAATTGGCAAGCCAAATGTAGAAGAATGAAGCTGGATACTGATCTCTCACCTTATACAAAAATCAACTCAAGATGGATCAAATAATTAAATCTAAGACATAAAACCATAAAAATTCTATAAGTTAACATTGAAAAAAACTCTTCTAGACATCGGCTTAGGCAAAGAGTTTATGACAAAAACCCCAAAGCAAATGCAACAAAAACAAAACAGATGGGACCTAATTAAACTAAAAAGCTTCAGCACAGCAAAATAAATAATCAGCAGAGTAAACAGACAACCCACAGAGTGGGGAAAAATCTTTGCAAACTATGAATTCTACAAAGGACTAATAATACAGAATCTATGCAGAACTCAAGCAAATCAGCAAGAAAAAAAATCCCATCAAAAAGTGGGCAAAGGACATGAATAGACATTTCTCCAAAGCAGATATACAAATGGCCGACAAACATATGAATAAATGCTCAACATCACTAATTATCAGCGAAATGAAAATTAAAACCACAATGAGATATTACTATACTCCTGCAAAAAAATGGCCATAATTTCAAAAATCAAAAAAATAACAGATGTTAGTGTGAATGTGGTGAAAAGGGAATACTTTTACACTGCTGGTGGGAATGTAAACTAGTACAACCACTATGGAAAACATTATGGAGATTCCTTAAAGTACTAAAAGTAGAACTACTGTTTGATCCAACAATTTCAGTACTGGGAGTCAACCCAAAGGTAAAGAAGTCATTATATGAAAAAGACACTTGCACATGCATGTTTATAGCAGCACAATTCACAATTCAAAAATGTGGAACCAGCCTAAATGCCCATCAACCAACGAGTGGATAAAGAAAATGTGACATATAGGTAGATAGATAGATAGATAGATAGATAGATAGATAGATAGATAGATAGATATCATATATATATACATATTATATACACACACACATACACACACACACACACACACACCATGGGATACTACTCATTCATATAAAGTAACAAAATAATTGTATTTGCAGCAACCTAGATGGAGTTGGAGACCATTATTCTAAGTGAAGTAACACAGAAATGGCAAATCAAACGTATATTCTCACTTATGAGCAGGACCTAAGCTATGAGAATGCAAAGGCATAAGAATGATAAAATGGACTCTGGGAACTCAGCAGGAAGGGTGGGAGGGGGGTGCTGGATAAAAGACTACACATTGGGTACAGTGTACACTGCTTGTGTGATGGATGCACCAAAATCTCAGAAATTACCACTAAAGAACTTTTCCATGCAACCAAACACCACCTGTTTCCCCAAAACTATTGAAATAAAAATAAATATAAAAAATAAATTAAGTAAATAAAATAAAAGGATGGAAATGATTAACAATGGGCAGTGGGAAGAGTCAAGGCAGCAGTGTACACCATTTTTTCAGCTAGATAAGAACTGAAAGGAAAGTGCGTGCAAGGTCTGCTTCATTTAAAAATTTTTAAAAATAAATAAAAATACCTACACATGTATGTTTATCCCAGCACTAGTCACAGTACAAAGATATGGAATCTGATTAAGTGTCCATCAATGGATGATTTGATAAAGTAAATGTGGTATATAATAAAATACTATTCTGCCATAAAAATAACAAAGTTGTGTGTTTTACAGCAACATGTATAATAGTGGTGATCATAATCTTAAGTGAAATTACCCATAAACAGAAAGTCAAATATCACAAGTTCTCACTTCTAGGCAGGAGCTAAATAATGTATACACATTAACACAGAAAGTGGAATAAAAGACACTGGGGACTCCGAAGGGCAGGAAAGTTGGAAGTGGGTGAGAGATTAAAAATTAATTAATATAATGTACCCTTTCAGAGACTTTTCTGCTATGCAATATATACATGCAACAAATCTGCACTTGTATCTGCTGCATCTATAAAAAATTTAAAAACACTTAACTGCAAGTTCCAAAACCTTAAAGTGCCTTTAAAAAACATAGGAAAACATCTCTTTGGCATTGGTCTTGGTAATAAAGTCTTTGATAGGACACCAAAAACACATGCCTCAAAAGCTACAATAAATAAGTGGTACTTAGATTTGACATCAACAAGATGGTGGAGAAGCTGATATCAGTATATATATATATATATATATATATATGTCTATCTTCAAGATGGTGGAGAAGCTGATATCAGCCCTTATCCCCTCCACCAACTATATATATATATACGTGTGTGTGCGTGTGTGTGTGTGTGTGTGTGTGTGTCTATCTTCAAACCAAAATAACCTAGAAATATTTCAAGGGCTTATAAATAATCTACCATAATAAATTAGTGCAAAAAAAATCCAAATAGAAAGTGTCACTGGTGATACTAATATACCTGAGACACCATATGTGCACCAGAAATAAAGAAGAAAAGTTGAGGTTATCATATCAATCACGGGGCAGGAATAACTATTGTCCCCATTTGCCTGTTCCACAGAGCACAGCAGTTCTTTTACCACTGAAGTAACCAACTAGCATCCCCACTGCAGAACCCCAGAGAGGGAGTCATGGCACACCCCATTTCCACATAAACTGTGACCACTGTTGAGTTAATTTTTCAAAGGAGTCAACACTTCTTCCAACCCCACACATGCCCCAATCCCAGAGCTGTGGCTGCTCCAAGAGGGCCTACTCTTGTGTCATTATTAGCTAGCCCATTAAGAATTCCAGGATAGACTAAATAGTAAGGTCTACCATCACCAAAGAATAGCTCCAATAGCTGGAGCAGACGGCAATATACTCAAAGGCTCAGGCATCAATATAAGGGCACGAGAATGATGAAATATTAGGAAAAAAAGATTACACCAAAAGAAAATAATAATACTTCAATAATGGACCCAGAAGAACTAAAAATCTAGAAAATGACTGACAAAGAATTTAGAACAATCCTTTTGAAGAAGTTTAGTGCACCTCAAAAAATAGAAATACAAAATTAAAGAACATTTGAAAAGCAATTCATGAACAAAATTAAAAGTTTGACGAAGAAGTAGAAACAATAAAGAAACAAATATTACCTGGTTGTGGTCTTTACTTTCTACATTTAGTGTTCCTTTCAAGATTTCCTGTAAGGCAGGTCTGCTGGTAATGAACTCTGTCAGCATTTGCATATCTAAAAAGGATCTTATTCCCCCTTCTCTTAGAAAGCTTAGTTCAGCTGGATATGAAGCCCCTGCTTTTTTTTAAGAATGTTGTATATAGGCCTCCAATCTCTTCTGGCTTGTAGGCTGTCAGCTGAGAGGTCCACTGTTAGACTTTTGTAGGTGACCTTCCCTTTCTCTCTAGCTGCCTTTAACATTCTTTTTTTCATTTTGACCTTGGAAAATATAATGATTATGTGTTTCTTGAGGATGATCTTCTTGTGTAGAAACTTGCAGGAGTTCTCTGTATTTTCCTGAATTTTACTGTTGGCCTCTCCATCAAGGTTTGGGAAGTTTTTATGGATGATATTCTGAAATATATTTTCCAAGTAGTTTGCTTTTTTTCCTTCCTTTTCAGGATGCCAATGATTCATACATTTGGCCTCTTTACATAATCTCATACTTCTTGGAGGATTAATTGATTCTTTTTTATTCCCTTTTAAAAATGTTTTTGTCTTATTTCAGAGAACCAGTCTTCAAGTTCTGAAATTCTTTCCTCAGTTTGGTTTATTCTGCAGAAAGTGGAATAAAAGACACTGGATTGATATTTGAGATTGCATTGTGAAATTCTGGTATTGTGTTATTAACCTCTGTCAGACCCATTAGGTTCTTTTGTATACTGATTATTTCATCCTTTAGCTCCCGTATCACTTATTTCATGATTCATATTTTCCTTAGATTAGGTTTTGCCATCCTCCTGAATCACAATTATCTTCATTCCTAACTGTATTCTGAATTCTATTTCTGTCATTTCAGCCAGTCCAGCCTTGTTAAGAAGTCCTGTTAGAGAACTGGTGAAGTCATTTGGAGAATATACAACACTTTGACCATTTGAGTTACTGAAGTTCTTGCATTGGTTCTTTCTCATCTCTATCAGTGTTCCTTTAACTGCCGTGTAGATTGAGTACAGTCAATAGACTTGTTTCCTGGTTGTTTTCACCTGGTCTAGGAATACAGCTATACAGGAAGGAAAAAGGTCTCTACAAAGAGAATTACAAAACACTGCTCAAAATAATCATAAAAGACACAGATGAATGAAAAAACATCTCATGCTCATGGATAGAAAAAATCAATAACATGTAAATGGCCATATTACCCAAAGCAATTTACAGATTCAATGCTACTTTTATCAAGCTACCAATAACATTCTTCACAGAACTGCACAAAAACTATTTAAAAATTAATGTAAAACCCAAAAAGAGCCTGAATAGCCAACAGAATCCTAAGCAAAAATAATAAAGCTGGAATAAACATGTTACCCAACTTCAAATTATACTACAGGGCTACAGTTTCCAAAACAGCATGGTACTGGTACAAAAACCGGTACATAGACCAATAGAACAGAATAGAGAGCCCAGAAATGAGGCCACACACCTACAACCACCTGATCTCTGACAAATCTAACAAAAACAAGAAATAGAGAAAGACTTACTTTTCAATAAATGGTGCTGGAATAACTGACTGGCCATAAGCCAGGAGACTGAAGCTGGACCCCTTCCTTACACCATATACAAAAATAAATTCAGGATGGATTAAAGACTTACATGTAAAATCGAAAACTATAAAACCCTGAAAGATAACCTAGGCAATACCATCCTGGACATAGAGAAGTGCAAATATTTCATGACAAAGACAATAAAAACAATTGTTAAAGAAGCAAAAATTAGTGGGATCCAATTAAATATAACAGCTTCTGCACAGCAAAAAAAAAAAACTATCAACAGAGTAAATGAACAACATACTGAACAGAAGAAAATATTTTCAAACTACATATCTGAAAAAGGTCTAATCTCAAGCATTTATCAGGGATTTAAAAAAATTTACAAGAGAAAAACAAATAATCCCATTAAAAAGCAGACAAAGACATGAGCAGACACTTCTTCAAAGAATATTACATGTGGCTAACAAGCATATGAAAATAAAAAAAGCTCAGTATTACTGATTATTAGAGAAATGCAAATCAAAGCCACCATTAGCAACCATCTCAAAAAAGTCAGAATCTGTTATTCTTTAAAATCAAAAAATAACAGATGATGATGAGGTTGCTGAGAAAAGAGAACACTTATACACTGTTGGTAGGAGTTTAAATTATTTCCATTATTGTCAAAAGCAGTATGATGATTTTTCAAAGAGCTAAAACCAGAATTACCATTTGACCCAGTAATCCCATTACTTGGTACATACTCAAAGAAATATAAATCATTCCACCATAATGCACATGCACACAATGTTTATTGCAGCACTATTCACAATAGCGAAGACATGGATTCAACCTAAATGCCCATAAATGACAGAATGGATTAAAAAAATGTGGTACATATGCACCATGGAACACTATACAGCCATACAAAGAAAAAGATTATGTCTTTTGTAGGAACATGGATGGAGCTGAAGGCTATTATCCTCAGCAAACTAATGCAGGAACGGAAAACCAAATGCTCCTTGTTCTCACTTACAAGTGGGAGCTAAATGATGATAACTTATGAACACGATAAGGAAACAACATACACTGGAGTCTACTTGAGGATAGAGGGTGGGAGGAGGGAGAGAAGCAGAAAAAATAACTATTGGGTACTGCAATTAATTCCTGTGTGGTGAAATAACCTGTACAACAAACCCCCGTGACATGAGTTTACCTATGTAACAAACCTTCACATATACCCCCAAACCTTAAATAAACAAAAGAAATAAATATAAATTCTAGAGATAAAGAATACAATAATTGAAGAAAAAAATAGAAAGCTTTAACATCAGACTTGATCAAGTAGAACAAAGAGTCAATGAACTAAAGATATGACATTTGAAGTTATCTAATCAGAAAAGGAAAAAGAAGAAATAATGAAGAAGGACTACATCAACAATGAAGCACCATCAAGAAAACAAACATTGCATAGTAGAAGTTCCAGGAGAAGCGAGAGACAAAGAACTACAAAGCAAACGTAAAAATAAATAAATAAGCCTAAAAATTTTCCAGACCTGGGAAAAGATGACATTATTTGACTTCAGAAATAAGATTACCTCCTGTTTACCTCTGCTATCAATGTTCCATGCCACCCTGGTGACTCAGGAGATTATGAGCCTGCTCAACTACACAGTATACCTCTACTACAAATGGACTTTAAGTAACACTAAGTTTACTTATAACCAATAAAATCATGCAGTATCTTCACTACTTCAAATATAGCCAAAAGCAAAGCCAAATGCCCTATTCAATAAACAGCATAGTCATATCCTCATGAAATAAAATGTCTTGCCCCAATAAAAGTAAATTTAAAAATAAGAAGTTACTGTTTTTTGAGGTATGAACAAATAAGTGTAATACCAAAAATATGAAAAGTCAAGTATTATGACCCACCAAAAGAAACAGTATTTCTTCAGAAAAAAAATTCTAACCAAAAAGAAAATCCTCAAAATTCCAAATAAATAGTTCAAAATTTTAATTTTAAGAAAGCTCGATGAGATGCAAGTGAAAACTGAAGTCAATAAAAATAAAATAAAATCAATGACAGATGTAAATGAGAAATTTACCAATGAGTTAGATATCTTTTAAAAAATGAAACTTCTGGGAAATAAAAAATTATAGTGGAATTACAAAATACACGAAAAACATCGATAATAGACTGTACCAAGAAGAAGGAGAATATCAGAACTGGAAGAAAGGTCTAGCTTAATTAATTAAATTAATTCAGTTAGACAAAAATAAAGAAAAAAGAATTAAAAGAAATTAACAAAGCCTTCAAGAAGTATGGGACTACGTAAAATGACCAAAGGTGTAAATCATCAGTATTCCTAATGGAGAAGAAAAATAAAGTTTAGAAAACCTACTTAAGTAAATAATTAATGAAAATTCTCTTACTCTAGCAAGAGACTTAGATATCCAGAAACAGGAGGCCCAACAAAAATCAGAAAAAAATACAATTTAAGATGAAATTCACCATGACATTACACAGTCATCAAACTGTGTAATGTCAATGTGCAATTAAAAAAAAAAAAACCTAAAATTGGTGAGGCAAAAATGCCTAGTCACCTATAAAGCAAATCTCATCAGACTAACAGTGGACTTCTCAGCAGAAACCATATAAGGCAGAAAAGGTTGAGACCTTATATTTAAAGCAGTAAATAAAAAACAGTGCCAAGCAAGAATTCTGTTTCATGACAGAAAAAAACTTTATAAGTAAAGGAGAAATAAGGTATCTCCCAGACAAGTAAATGCTGAGAAAATTTATCACCACTAATTCAGCCCTATAAGAAATGCTCAATGGAGTTGTAAGCATAGAAATGAAAGATCAATATTCACCAATACTAAAACACGCAGAGCATAAAACTCAAGGGTCTCATAAAACAATTATAAGGAGAAAGAGAAAGAAATTAAATGGCACCATGACAGAACTCCATCAAACCACAAAGACAGAGAGAAAGCAAAAGAAGAAACAAACAAACAAACAAAAAATACACAAAACAACTAAATAATACTAACAATATAACCGGAACAAAACCCCACATATCAATATTAACCATGAACACAAATAAATTAAATGCCCACTTAAAAATATATACGGGTGGAATGAATTTTAATAATTATCCAATTATATACTTCTAACAAGAAATTCATATTACATGTAAAGACAAATATAAATGAAAGAGTTGAAAATGATAATTCATGCAAGTGGAAATCATAAGTGAGCAGGAGTAGCTAAACTTATATAAAATAAAAGAGAATTTAAATAAAAAAATGGTAAAAAAAACCAACAGGTCATTACATAATAATAAGGTGGTTAATTCAGCAAGACAATATAACAATCCGATATATATATATATATATATATATATATATATATATATATATATGCACTTAACAATGGGGCATGCAGATTCATAAAACAAATGTTACTAGACCTAATGAAAGAGATAGACAGAAATGTAGTAAGAGTAGTGTAGGTAAGGACCTCACTCATAGCAGTAGAAAGATCAAGTCAGAAAACCAAAAAAGAATCCTTGGACTTAACTTGAACTTTAGGCCAAATGGACCTCAGAGACATATACAGAACATTCTAACCAACAGCGGCAGAATACACATTGTTCTCACCAGCACATGAAAGGTATTCCAAGACAGACTACAAGTTAGGTCACAAAACAAATCTTAATACATTTTTGAAAAATCAAGTAATATTAAGTATTTTCTCAGACCATAGACGAATAAAAGTAGAAATCAATTCCAAGCAAAACTTTGAAAAATATACAAATACACAAAAACAGAAAAACATGCTTCATGATCTTTTGGAAAAAAATAAAATTAAAATGGAAATTTAAAACTTTTTGGAAGTGAATAAACATGAAAACACAGGTGAGTTTGAACCAAGATGGCTGCTGCAGTCCATGACTCTCACGGAGAAGAATGAAAACTGAGTGAATTTTGCACCTTCAACTGAGGTATTCAGATTCTCTCATTGGAACTGACTAGATGGGCAGTTCAACCCACAGAGTTAGGAAAAGCGGGGGGGTGTAAGGACCCCACCCACCCCCACCCTGCCAGGAACAGCATGGAGCCAGGGAAGCTTCCATTTTCAGCCAAGGGAGACAGTGAATGGTTGTGCAACTCTGCCTGAAAAACCACGCTTTTCTCACAGATCTTTGTAACCCACAGGGCTTTGGGTTAGAAGCACAGAGCTGTGTGGAGTCTCAGTGGGGTGGCCACTTAGGACTGCATGAAGACCCAGGAGTTGTTTTGCATACTGTGGCCCTGGAAATTTCCAGCAAAATGGAAGATCCATCCATGTATTCCCCTTGGAAGGGGGCTGAATCCAGGAAGCCAAGCAACGTCATTCTGCAGGCCGCACCCCAATGGCATCCCACAAGTTAAGACTCACTGGCTTCGAATTCTAGGTGGCCAGTGGCAGCAGGCAGGAGACTGCCTGAGACAGACCGAGTTCCTAGGGGGAGGGACAGTGGCCATCTCTTCAGTTTGAGTCAGCCGTTCTAGCCTCCTGGCTCCAGGAAGCCCAGTGGTTCTGGAGCAATTCCCCCATAAAATACAGAGAATCCCAATAAGATACTCCAGGAGAATATCAACCATAAGATATATATATAATCATCAGATTCTCCAAGTTTGAAATTAAAAAAAAATGTTAAGGGCAGCCAAAGAGAAAGGCCAGGTCACCTACAAAGCGAAGTCCATCAGACTAACAGCAGACCTCTCAGTGGAAACCATACAAGCCAGAAGAGATTGGGGGACAAAATTCAACATTTTTAAAGAAAAGAATTTTCAACCCAGAATTTCATATTTGGCCAAACGAAGCCTCATAAACAGAGAAATAAAGTCTTTTTCAGACATACAAATGCTGAGGGAATTCATCACCACCAGGCCTGCCTTGCAAGAGCTCCTGGAGGAAGCACGAAATATAGAAAAGAAAAATTGTTAATAGCTACTACAAAAACACATTGAAATACACAGACCAGTGACACTATGAAGCAACTACATAAAGAAGTCTGAAAACTAACAAGCTAGGATCAGGATGACAAAATCAAATTCACATATAACAACACTAACCTTAAATGTAAGTGGGCTAAATGTCCCAATTAAAAGACACAGAATGGCAAGCTGGTTAAAGACTCAAGACCCATTGGATGTTGTCTTGAAGAAACACATCTCATATGCAAAGACACACATAGGCTCAAAATAAAAGAATGGAGGAAAATGTCCAAGCAAATGGAAAACAGAAAAAAAATTGCAATCCTAGTTTCTTACAAAGCAGATTTTAAACCAACAAAGATCAAAAAATACAAAGATGGGCATTAGATAATGGTAAAGGATTCAATGCAACAAGAAAAGCTAACTATCCTAAATACACATGTGCCCAATACAGGAGCACCGAGATTCATAAACCAAGTTCTTAGATACCTACAAAAAGAGTTAGACTTCCACACAATAATAGTGGGAGGCTTTAACACCCCACTGAAAATTTTAGACAGGTCATAGAGACAGAAAATTTAAAAAGATATTCAGGACCTGAACTTAGCTCTGAATCAAGGGAACCTGATAGACATCTACAAAACTTTCCACCAAAAAAAACCAGAATGTACATTTTTTTTTATCGCCACATGGCACTTACTCTAAAATTGATCACATAATTGGAAGTAAAACACTCCTAAGAAAATGTAAATTAAAAACCCAAAATCATAGCAAAATATCTCTCAGACCACAGCACAATCATCAAATGAGAACTCAAAGTAAAGAAACTCACTCAAAACCACACAACTACATGGATATTGAAAAATATGCTTCTGAATGACTCCTGAGTTCATAATAAAATTAAGGCAGAAATCAAGAAGTTCTTTGAAATTAATGGGAACAAAGAGACAGCATACCAGAATCTCTGGGACACAGCTAAAGCAGTGTTAAAATATATATAAAGCACTAAATGCCCACATCAAAAAGCTAGAAATATGTCAAATCAACAACCTAACATCACATATAAAAGAACTAGACAGCCAAGAGCAAACAAACCCAAAGCTAGCAGAAGACAAGAAATAACCAAGATCAGAATAGAACTTACAAAGATAGAATCATAAGAATACTTTCAAAAAATCAAAGAATGCAAGAGCTGTTTTTTTTTTGAAAAAATTAATAAAATAAACCACTAACTAGGCTAATAAGAAAACAGAGAAGAATCAAATAGGCACAATCAGAAATGATAAGGGGGATATTACCACTGACCCCAGAGAAATAAAAACAACCATCACATGAACTAGAAAATCCTGATGAAATGGATAAATTTCTGGACATACACACCCTCCCAAGACTGAACCAGGAAGAAATTCAGGCTCTGAATAGACCAGTAATGTGTTCTAAAATTGAGGCAGTAATAAATAGCCTACCAATGAAAAAGAGCTCACGACCAGGCAGATTCACCAATGAATTGTACCAGAGGTACAAAGAAGAGTTTGTGCCATTTCTACTGAAACCATTCCAAAGAATTAAAAAGAAGAGACTCCTCCCCAATTAATTTTATGAAGCCAGCATCATCCTGATATCAAAACCTGGCAGAGATACAACAAAAAAGAAAACTTCCGGCCATTATTTCTGATAAACATCAATATAAAAATCCTAAGTAAAATACTGGCAAACCAAATCCAGCAGCATATCAAAAAGCTTATCCACAACGATCAAGTTTCATCCCTGGGATGCGAGGTTGGTTCACCATACACAAATCGATAAATAAAATTTATCACATTTACAGAACTAAAGACAAAAACCACACGATTATCTCAATAGATGCAGAAATGGCCGTTGATAAAATTAAACATCCTTCGTGTTAAAATCTCTCAACAAATTAGGTATTCAAGAAACTTACCTCAAAATAATAAGAGCAATATATGACAAACCCACAGCCAGTATCATTCTAAATGGGCAAAAGCTGGAAGCATTCCCCTTGAAAACCAGCAAAAAGCAAGGATGCCTTGTATCATCACTCCTATTCAACATAGTATTGGAAGTTCTGACCAGGTGAATCAGGCAAGATTAAGAAATAAATGGTATTCAGATAGGAAGAGAGGAAGTCAAATTATCTTTGTTTGCAGGTGCAACAACCTTGTGTCTAGAAAACCCCACATTCTCAACCCAAAAGCTTCTTAAGCTGATAAACAACTTCAGCAAAGTCTCAGTATACAAAATTGATGTGCAAAAATTGCTAACATTCCTACACACAAACAACAGGCAAGCAGAGAGCCAAATCATAAAAGAACTCCCATTCACAATTGCTACTAAGAGAATAAAATACCTAGGAATACAGCTAACAAAGGAAGCAAAGAACCTCTTCAAAGAAAACTACAGACCACTGCTCAAGGCAATCAAAGAGGACACAAATAAATACAAAAAAAATCTATGCTCTTAGATAGAAAGAATCAATATTGTGAAAATGGCCATAGTGCCCAAAGTAATTTATAGATTCAATGCTTTCTCCATTAAACCACCATTGACATTCTTCACAGAATTAGAAAAAATTATTCTAATATTCATATGTAACCAAAAATATGCCCAAATAGCCAAGACAATCTTAAGCAAAAAGAACAAAGCTGGAAACATCATGCTACCAGACTTCAAACTATACTACAAGTCTACATAACCAAAATAGCATAGGACAGGTACAAAAACAGACACATAGACCAATGGAACAAAATAGGGAACTCAGAAATAAGACCACACACCTACAATTATATGATCTTTGACAAACCCAACAGAAACAATGAATGAGGAAAGTATTTTCTATTTAATAAATTGTGCTGGAAAAACTGGTTAGCCATATGCAGAAAATTGAAACTGGACTCCTTTCTTACACCGTATACAATAATTAACTTAAGATGGAGTAAAGACTTAAATGTATAATGCCAAATTTAAAAAAAACCCTAGAAGAAAATCTAGGCAATATTTTTCAGGACATAGGCATGGGCAAAGATTTCATAATGAAAATGCCAAATGCAATTACAACAAAAGCTGAAATTGACAAATGGGATCTAATTGAACTAATGAGCTGCTTCATGGCAAAACAAACAAAAAACCTATCATCAGAGTGAACAGGCAACCTACATAATGGGAGAAAATTGTAGCAATCTATTTGTCTGACAAAGGTCTAATATCCAGAGTCTACAAGGAACTTAATATACAAAACAAAACCAAATCTATTAAAAAGTGGGCAAGGGACATGAACGAACACTTCTCAAAAAAAGACATTGATGTTGTTAACAAACATATAAAAAAAAGCTCAATATCACTGATCATTACATATATGTAAATCAAAATCACAATGAGATACTATCTCATGCCAGTCAGAATGGCAATTATTAAAATTTCAAGAAACAACAGATGCAGGTGAGGTTGCAGAGAAAGAGGAACACTTTTATACTCTCAGTGGAAATGTAAATTAGTTCAACCATTGTGGAAGAGAGTGTGGTGATTTTTCAAAGATCTAGAACAAAAAGTACTATTTGACCCAGTATCCCATTATGGGGTATATACCCAAAGGAATATAAATCATTCAATTGTAAAGATACATGCACACACATGTTTATTGCAGCACTATTGATAATAGCAAAGACATGGAATCTACCCAAATTCCCATCAATGATAGACTGCATAAAGAAAATGTAGTATATAAACACCATGGAATACTATGCAGCCATAAAAAGAAAGGAGATGATGTCCTCTGCAGGGACATGGATAAAGCTGGAAACTGTTACCCTCAGCAAACTAACCTAGGAAGAGAAAACCAAACACCGCAAGTTCTAACTTATAAGTGGGAGCTGAATGTTGAGAACACAGGGACACATGGTAGGGGAACAACGCACACTGGAGCCTGTCAGCAGGGTGGTGGGAGAGAGAGCCTCAGAAAGAATAGCAAATAGATGATGGGCTTAATACCTAGGTGATAAGTTGATTGGTGCAGCAAACTACCATGGCACATGTTTACTTATGTAACAAAGCTACCCATCCAGCACATGTACCCCAGAACTTAAAATATAAGTTGAAGAAAAAATGAAATCATTATATAACAAAACCTTTGGGTTTTTTTGCACTACAGTAAAAGTAGTGCTAAAAGGAAATTACATAGTCTTGAACGCCTACATCAAACACATTGAGAAAAACCAAATTAACAACTTAACATGACACCTCAAGGAACTGAATCAACAAAGACAATCAAGCCCAAAGCTAGAAGAGGAAAATAATAATAAAGATAAGAGCAGGACTAAATAATATTGAGTCCAACAAAGTGATACAAAACATAAATGAAGACAAATAAGAAAGAGGTGGAGTAAGATAGCAGAATTGAAAGCCCCACCGATCATCCCCTCCACAAGGACACCAAGTTAACAACCTACACAGAAAAAAACAAACAAACAAAAAACACCTTTATAATAAACAAAAGTCAGGTGAGTACTCATAGTACCTAGATTTAACTTTGTTTTCCTGAAAGGGGCACTGAAGCATATTAAAAGAAAAACTTTAGACAAATTCAGTTTAATTGATTTAATTGAGCAAGAAAGAAATGAATTTGCAAATCAGCCAGCCTCCAGAATCACAGCAGATTCAGAAAGACTCCAGGGATGCTTCATGAAGAGAGCAAATTTATAGACAGAAAAAGAAAAATGACATACAGAAAATGGAGGTAAGTTTCAGAAACAGCTGGATTGGTTACAGTTTGGTGTTTGCCTTATTTGAACACAGTTTGAACAGTCAGTGACCTATGCGTGGTTGAAATATGGCTACTAGGATTGGCTGAGACTCAGCTATTGCCACAAAAGCATACTCCTAAGTTAAGTTACGGTTTGTCCAAAAGGACTCAAGTATGGATGTCTCAGGCCGTATTTAGTTCAATTTAACAATATCCCATTTGGTCAACCTCTCAATTTACAGAGATTGAACAAAAGTTTAGTCATTGATGCCACTCTCTGTCACCATCCTAAAATAGTTGGTCTCAGAATGGAATTCACAAGTCTTCTTTAGCTGCAGTATGTAGTTTACAAGTCTTGTTTTGTGTCATTATGGAATCACAAATCACAGCTTTGTACCAACTGAATGATTCTTTGTATTCTTGCTGACCTAAAGAAATGGGTAGAATGGAGTGAGACCATTCAATTCACAATGGATGGCTGCATGCAAAACATTTAAGACTTGAAAGAATACAGTGCATCAGGAGGACTATTATGATTATCAAGAGGAGAATATGAAAACGCCAAGGTGTATTCCATAACAAGAGTTATGAAAATTAACTGAACCAAATTAAACAAGATAAGATTCAGATAATATAGGCAACTCAACAATACTAGGGTCTAATTGGTCATAGTCCTTGTTTGGAATGTGATAGTGATTAAGGACCATAGTTCACTGTAAAGTGACCTGATTTAAAGAAGTACTCATCTTCATCGTTACTCTGGTAACACAAATCATAATAACCTGGAAACCTACTAAAAGAAATATAATGATTAGAAACACTTGAAAAACCCAAGCTTACCATCCACCACTCAAGATGCCTGCCAACCAACTGTTAGTTGCTCCTGTAAATATATCATGTGTTCCTTTCTCCTGAGCAATTTCTTTAATGTGTT
Organism: Homo sapiens; assembly: GCF_000001405.40. NCBI lineage: Eukaryota > Metazoa > Chordata > Mammalia > Primates > Hominidae > Homo > Homo sapiens. The sequence goes on from NC_000023.11 coordinate 83,975,555, forward strand.
TGGTGGCAGTGTCTAAGAAAACAGCAGTATTAACCACCTTTTTGATTAAGCTTTTTGTAGTAGTAAAATCAGAAGAGAGATAAGTACAACATTTAGTTTTGTTCAACACCAAACATGAGCCCCCAGCTTGGGCTAAAAGAAAATCTAAAGCTGCATGATATTCTATTATGTGTTTTTGTTGAATATATGTGTTATCGTCTACATTTTGGGGAGTAGTTTCTACCAGCCTGAAACCCTGGGAGGTCTGACTTGCTACAAAATCCAAAATTTTTCCCAATTTATAAATTAGCTGTAAATTCCATACAGCTGGCACCCCACTACCACCAAAAATGAGCTCCAAAGGAACCCATTGAGGAAATATTTCCTCAGTGAAAACAAGTTTATCCTCATCTATTTCAAGGCTAGTGATAATTTCAGTTATTGATCATTTTGACTTCCAACTATAAGGGCTATTATGGGAATAATCAGGGGAAGCTATTCGAAAGGCAGGAGTGATCCAGGCCAAATAACAAGATCCAAACCAAAGAAAAGGCAGAATAAATAAACAGATTCTCCACAGACTCAATATAGGCCCTCAGGGGTTGAAAAAGAGGGCCACCTAGTTACATTTGAGCAAGAGTCAGTCAGGTTTGTTCATCCATAAATCTGTAGCTCCTGAACAAGATCAAGTAGGAAATTTACTTTTTTGTGGCCCCTTTATAGCATGTTGTAAGGGTGTATAACAACATCTATTAAAAAAAAAAGACCAATGGATCTAATCTGGTGACAATATACAAGCAATTACTTGTACCAACATAGGTAATACTCAAATCTTGAGTGTGTTATGCCTGAAAGCACAATATATCTTTTGCAGGCATCACTTAAATTGATATTTTATATTTGGTAATAATTGAGTTATCAATTGCAAAAGAGTGTTGTTCTTAGTGAGTATAGGAAAGCAAGTAGCAGTGATGTTTAGAATATCAAGAATAGCTTCCTATTCTTTCCTTGGAGTTTAGGGTGACTTTTACTGGGAACACAGAGAGGCATTTGCATCAGTGGAATTGTTTCCTGATTTTTTGATATTAAGCCATAAACTCAACAATTACTCTGGTTTTGTGCTACAGCATAAGCTTAGCCTAAAAGCATCCACTGATTATGGTCCCATGGATTTTCCTGTAGGGAAAATGAAAGAATTGGGGTGATAAAAAATGAGAAAAAAATAAAGCTTTTATGATGATAGAGAAATCTTGATCTATGATCTTGGGAAAGCGGTCCACCACTAAGATGCCATCTCCTTCTGGGGAGAGATTTCCCTGGTCATCTTTACCTTAAAGTATCTAACAGGTGTACAGATTCAGGAGTCTGAAGGGGCCCTGCTGAGTTGTGAAATGTGGATCCCAGGTTCAAGGAGCTAAGAAATGCTGTGTTTGGTTGGAATTTAATAGATTTTTCACAACATTTGGAGCTTGCAAATTAAGTTCATTTTCTAAGATCTGATCTGATGAAGGTTCTACCAGCTTGGCTGCTGCTGCTACTGCTTTTAAACAATTTATATGCCTTAGCTACTGAGCCTAATTTCATGGTGTAGTATGCACTGGGCCTATGATTACTACCATGATCTTGGGTAAGGACTCCTTATGCCTAATTGTTACATTCATGAACCAACAAAGTAAAAGGTTTTGTGTAATTTGGAAGTCGTAAAGCTGGGGGCTGTTGTAACGTCAATTTTATTTGGATAAAAGCCTGATCATGACTATCTTCCCTAGGTAAAGTCTCTGGTACAACATTTTTAGTGAGCTCATACAATGATGAAGCCATTAAGCAAAAAATTTGGAACCAAGGATTTGCAATATCCTGCAAGACCAAAGAAGCCTCTTAAATGTCTTCTGGTTGCAGGCCAAGGAAAACTTTGAACAGCTTTTATTCTCTTATTTGAGAGGGAAACTCCTTCAGTAGTCAAGTCACGTTTTGAATACTGGACTTTTTCTCTTGAAAACTGAAGTTTTTCCAGTGAAGCCTTGTGACTTTTATATGCAAGTTGCTGTGAAAAGTAAACTGAGTCAATTTCGGAGTGCTCTTTAGTGGGAGAACATAACAATAGCTCATCTACATACTAAACGATAGTAGAATTTTGAGAAAACTGTAGTGTGATTAAGT